>NC_000006.12:99161699-99313214 GCF_000001405.40 Homo sapiens
GGGGTCGTAATCTTACTGGATCAGTTCCTGGCCTTTCCTATATTGTGGAAAATTCAGGAAAATAGTCCCTGGGGAAAGAAAGCAAAATAAAACAAAAAGCCCAAGTTTATCTGATTAATAATGTGCTGAAGAAAGCAGGAAGTGAGGAAGAGAGAAAAAAAGTATCCCAGGTGTTGGAGAAAGTTGTGATGATTTAGAAAATGACAAACCCTAAGAAGCTTCTGGAAAGGAGAGGCAAGGAAATCTTAATAAGTAGTATTATAAGTTATAAACTGAATATTTGTTTAATCCCTCAAGGGATACAAGTAAAGATTGAAATTACTTTTTCCTATGCCTGCCGGACTATTTCTTTAAACACGAGGCAAGTCACTTGGGTTCCTATCATATTCAACAGTCTAGCCAAGGTTATTACACTTCAATACACTAATTGTTTCAAATAACTCTACAAAAGTACCCTAAAATTCTAATTCTGAATCTGGGAGATGAGATTTCCTAATGGTGATCATATTTAACCCTCATAAACTGAGCCCCAATACCTATAATCCCGCTGAAGGATGCACCTGCTTTCCAATCAAAGTATCTGTGCACATCAGTCATTGGATTCTCCAATCTTACATGTCAGCCTGTAAGTCCTCTCAAGAGTTTTGATAGGGTTCCTTCAATAGGCCAAATGCTTTCTCAACCAATCACTAAAGAATATCACTGTATAATAAAGATCATCCTATATGAAAATACTAGTGAATCATCCTCATAGGTCAGACCTGGCCATTGACCCAGGGATTTTTCAAACTAGTTCTATAAACATATAGTGAACCAGTATAAACTCAATTCTACCAAGAGTGATTATGGAATTTGTTTCACTTACCTTGTTCCTACAGGCATATAGGAAGTGAACCATATGCCCTCTGATGCCCTTTGCTTTCTGTACTTCCATAATTGCTTCCTGGCCTGGCGGCCAAGCAGGCATTCTTCCACCCATGACCTCCAATAAAGTGACAGAACCTGCCCCTCTCCTGCTTTATTTCCCCCAGCCCCCAATATCCATACAGTCTCAACTTCAACCCAATATTAGAATTGTTTCAACCTGGTTTTCTCACAATCCTGGGTTCTCTGTCCATATCAGATCTTTCTGCATCATCCACAACCTGTTGTTTTATTTGAACAACCTTTGCTATATCATACTTGGACTAATTGGCCTTAAGAGTATACTATCCCCCCCACCAGCACTCTTCCTGCCAAGGAATAGTCATTTGTCTTGTTTCCTACAATCCTATTAATCTTCCATCTTCCCCACCTCTAGCATGGAGCTAAGCCATGATTGTCAATTCCCTGCTTAGTATATCATTTTCTACCAAAAGCTCTCCTGTGATTCCATCATTATGGTTTATCCATGCTCCCAAAGCTCCTTAGCCCAAACAAATATAGTTCATCCTAAGACTCTTGCTACCAAGCCGCTTCTGGCTTCCTCTGCATCAGAGGAAACCATGGTAGCTGATAAGAATGGAATTTGGGGAAAGCTTGAAGAACAAATCAATGCCTTTTATACCCCTAACTCAAAGATCCCTGGGGCAAGCCCTGCTGATTGGCTGATGCCACACCCATACCCACTTCCTTACTCCTTTGATCCCTTCCACGATAAAACATGGAATGGCTAAGTATACACTTTCCCAGTCTCCCTTACAGGTAGGGATGACAGTGTGACACCCATCTGTCCACTATGATGGAGCAGAAGTCTGCTGAGGTGGAGATAGTCCTGGGGAAGTTTTTGCTTTCCTTATAAAGGAGAGAAATAAAGCTGGCCTTGCCCCATCCCCCATCGTTCTGCTTTGAAGGTGGGAACAATTCCTGAAGCGGGAACAGCCATTTTGTGACTCTGAGGCAAAAAGCCCAAGGGAAAGCTCGTCTTGGTGCATCCAGCTGCTGGCCCGCTCTAGCTGCTGGCTGCCTCCCTGACCCTTTGTCACATGAGGAAAGGAGTTATGTGCATTCCTACCTAATAGGCCAGGGCCACCAAATGTCTCTCCAGAGCAGCCTTTAGAAGTGTCTTCATCCCAGCCGGGCGCGGTGGCTCACGCCTGTAATCCCAGCAGTCTGGGAGGCCAAGGCAGGCAGATCACGAGGTCAGGAGATCAAGACCATCCTGGCTAACACGGTGAAACCCCGTCTCTACTAAAAATACAAAAAATTAGCCGGGCGTGGTGGCAGACACCTGTAGTCCCAGCTACTCAGGATGCTGAGGCAGGAGAATGGCGTGAACCCGGGAGGTGGAGGTTGCAGTGAGCCGAGATCGCGCCACTGCACTCCAGCCTGGGCGACAGAGCGAGACTCTGTCTCAAAAAAAAAAACAGTGTCTTCATCCCTTTCCCGTTTTGAGAAAATAGTCTTTATTTTTCTGAAGACTAAATCATCCTTTTTTCCATTTCAACATATCACAAAGAAAGAAACTTTTAGATTTTGTGAGCTTACAAATTGAGTTACATCTATCACTAACCTGGCATTATGTTATATAATTACAATAATATTACATTTTAATAAATGCATTAAAATTAACAATATTAATTTTACTATATGTCATATATTTTTTTTCTCAAATTCATGTCATATTGTATATACTTATATTTTCTGGATAATACATCACTATATTTTCATATTACATAATATGTAAATCATCTGGTTATTTTTTTTCTCCCTCACTAGAATGAACGGCATGCCTAGAACAGTGCCTGGTACCAAATAGCCATGCAGGAAATATTCGTTGAATAAATAAATGGATCTTACCACCCACTCCCCCCACCGACCCCGCAAAAGGATGCTTATTTAAGATTAGCCTATTTCAGGCAAAAAAATATTTCAATGAGCGTGTTATTAAGAGGTCAGTGTAGATGAGGAGTTCATCTTGACATCCTACAGAGGCAGCCTTTTAAATGCTGGTAATTGGTTTTAAAAATAAATTAACATTATTCTTTTATTTCAATTCCCCCAAAGGCAATTAGACTTCTGTTTTTAAAATAGAAGTCTGGAAAAATAAGTCACTTTAGTAGACTCCTGTCTTGCCCATGGTCTTACTTAAACACCATTTCTGGGGCACAGTGTCAAGAAACAAGGAGCTCTCTTCAGCCTAAGGGATCAGGAGCAAGATGCTGACCCACAATTTTTGCCAGTTAGTTTCCAAATCCCATTCAGAGTTCCTTTTATAGCTGGCATCATCTCAAATTGTGTATCTTCCATTTTCCTCTGTCCTAGATGATTTAAATAAACAGAAATCTTCATTAATTTTTTTAATCCTCTCTGACGGAAAAAAAAAAAAGAGAGAATGTGGTAGCATGTGGTCTTTCTCATGTTAAACAGTTAATGTTAAAAATCACCCATGGTTCTCTTCAAGGTCCTTCCCATTTCTGGAAAGTGAGCATATCTTCAGACATGAATTCTGGCCCAACCCAGAGGTCATCCATAGAGGAGGGACAATGGTTTGTTCAACAGAGAAGAATTAATCAGTGACTGGCTCCGAGAGGTACAGCAGGACTCACCTCAGCTATCACTCTTACACAGATTTGCCCAACAGGGCACTGCCAACCACTTTTCAGAATCCTGAAGGCTCCACTCTGCACACAGGAAAAGCAGAATGCAGCCTGGCAAGCCCTGAGTCAACTCCCCTGTCACCCAGAAGGACAAGACCTGACCAGGTTCTACTGCAGAACTCTTCTCAGTGGACTTGAAGGCTAGACTCCAGCAACCTCAATCCCTAAGGCTAAGTTATACAAAAGACTTGCATTTGTTACCTTCTGCTGCTGTATAAGAAACTATACAAATTTAGCAGCTTACAATAACACACATTTATTATCTCATGGTTTTGGAGGGTCAGGAATTTGGGCACACCTTAACTGAATCTTCTACTTTAGGGTCTCTCAAGAGGCTGCAATCAAGTGTCAACCAGAGCTAGAGTCTTATATGAAGGCTCAAAGCTCACATGGTTGTTGGCAGGATTCAGAACCTGGACTAAGGGCCTCAGCCCTCTGCTGGCTTTCGGCCAGAGGCCACCTTCCATTGCTTGTCATGTGGGCATTTCCATAGGGCAGCTCACAATATGGCAGCTTGCTTCATCAAAAACAGCAAGGGAGAGTTGCTTAAGCCAGATAACTCCTTTTCAGACTTCAATCTTCATCTTCTTTTCCCCTACTTACAATCAGTAGAATCTTACTGATTCTAACACTAAAGTATCTCTCAAATCTGTCTCCCTCCTCTCCACTCCAAGTGCTTAGAGTCAAACTCTTGTTTCTCTGCAGACTGTTTCAGTAGCTTTCTAATGTGCTTCTCTGGCCCAGTGGTGCATTCATAAAGGTTTCACAACTGATCTCCCTCTCTGGGTCATGGGGAAAACCCCAATTTGTAAACTTTGCTGACTTCCACTGTGTAATTGCCCCTCACCTGGCCCATTTAAAGCTACCAGTGACTTCACTGATTGGGAAGAGATGCTCAGTAGCTCACCATTATATTGTATTTCTACCATACAGATACAGTGGATACAAGTAACCTCAGAAACGTGAAAATAGTAAAATACAGTAAGATAATTAGGAAGTAATAAGCTTTATCTTATTTATCTTTGATTTCAATATAATTTAATTATACCTTTATATAATGTAATACTTAATAATGGATATATTTATCAACCTATGCAGAAAACCTAACAATTGGCTGTCACAAGCTAAAGTGCAGTCACTTCTGCATATCACTGACCTGGCCCTAGTCTCTGCATTCAAGGTGTTCTCCAAAGCACAGCAGACATTTCAACACAAATCTGATCATGTCACTGTCCTTGCTCTTGTTAGTGGTTTCTCACAGTCCAAAATCCTTTACCTATGTATGCAAGACCCTTCATTTTCTGGCCACAGTTGACTCCAGCTGTATTTTAGGTCAAAATTCAACATGAACAATAACAATAGTAGTAACAAAACCTGACAGTTATTGACCCTTACTCTATGCTAAGCACTTAACACATATGCATTATATTATTTAATCTTTGCAACAATCATATGAACTGGCTTCTCTTACTGTCCCCATTTTACAGATGAGGAAAGTGAAGAGTGTTTGAGTGACTTGTAAAAATTCACACAGAGAGTAATTAATGGAACTGGTCCAATAACAAAACCCAAATTCTTAAAACTAAGACGGTTTCATCAATAATTCAAAACCCCTTACGTATACTATGTTCTTCCTATCGTCTTCCCATTGCACATGTGTTTTCCTCTCCTAGAATGCCTCATTAGTACTGACCCCAGCACCACTCTCACTTTCCTCTTATCTACCTAAGGAGCTGCTACTCTAAGAACCTAATTCCATGGTGCTCCAAACTGGGAGGTAAGAGAAACTTAGAGACTCAAGACTCAAATGTATTCCAGTTAAAATTGGGTCTAGTTAACTGTCTATTCTTAAGCTACCACTAAATTAGCTGGAAAGAATGACACAAAGACAGGGAGAGAGGGAGAGGATGGGTGGAAGGGAGACAGAGAGAAAGAACTTATAATACCACCCAAAGCTAACAAATTAACTTACAGATAGCTTATTGCCAGGATCTGTGTGGTATGTAGAGAAGTCTAGAGTACTATACCTCAACCCTGTTCCTCCTAATTTTTTCTTTAGTCATTCTGTGATAGCAAATTTCAGAAAAACAAGACTAGAACAGGGAGTGGAGATTCTGCTGGCCCTGAAAAGCATCCTGGAAGGTTTATTGCATATATGTAAATGAGGTAGGTTGGACCAAAGATTGAAAGATTGGGGGAATGAAGTGATATTCGGGATTTTAGGCTTTTTGTTAACTTTCTCTCTTCAGTGCATCTGGGAATGCAGAACTAGAGAGTAAAATTAGTCATTCAGTACCTTAGAGGTATCCACGGCAAAAACTTGGAGAAACTGGAAATTGGGCTGGGAGTGGAGCATGCCAGCCTTCCCCATAACTATGACCCTAAAAGGAATGTTAATAGTGCAGACTTAAATAACAGAAATACACGTCTGCTAACAAGCACTGAGTTTTGATTAACCTCGCCACATCAAAGCATAAATAAGGGAAAAATAGATTAGATCCACTCTATACATTATAGGTATTCCCAAGGGAAGACTAGAATAATTCAAGCAGAAGCAATAAACAAAAACATAATTGAAAGAAAAAAAAAACAACTTCCTACACTGAAAAAAAAACCCTGAATTTTAAATTAAAAGGGATCCAAGTATATTACCAAAAATAAAGAAAAAGACGTCATCTCAACACATCCTAGCAATCTTTTAAGTACAGAGATTAAGAAAAATGAATTCACTAAAAAGATACAGAATAATATGATACCATTTATACAAAGAAAACACATACACCTTCAAAATAAGTGTTTTGAAACTATATATAATATATATAATTATATATATATTATTATATAGATATATATATAGGATTTATAAATATGTATGCAAAATTATAAAGAAATGGCCTAAAAAGTTACATTTTAAATTCTAATAGTGGTTGTTCTTGAGTGGTCGTAGAGGAGACTGGTGAGTGGAATAAGAAGTGCTGGTTAAAGGTTAAAGGGCACTTTAGCTATATCTGTAATGTTGATGGGAAGGGAATGGAAGGGGAGGGGAGGGAAGAAGGAAAGAAGGGAGGGAAGGAAAGGAAGAAAGGAAGAAAGAGACTTGAAGCAAGTGTGACAGAATATAAATATGTTCATTCCAGGTATTGGGAGTATTAATGTCTATTTTATTCCTTGTATTTTTTAGTGCCTTTAGAACTTATCTAAATAGAAGAAGGAGAAGTTTTACAAACAACCAAACTGGGTAGGAGTAATTCTTACAAAGGGAAAATAAAATCAATCTGAGCTCAGATGTCTCCTCCATATACTAAATCCAAAAAGATAGTTTTGACAAAAGAAAAACAAAAACCCTAAAACTGTACACCCAGCCAAGTTGTCAGTCATGTATTAAGGAAATAGAAAAACACCCTCAGGCATACAGGGGTCCACCTAGAAAACATACCAAACTCTTCCTCTTCTTTAAAAAAATAGCTAAATACCAACTACAGTCAGATGAGTGATAAATCAGAATAAAAAGCTGTGAGTTGTAGTATAAAAAGACTAGCAGTAAATACCGCAGGCCGTCAAAGGCAAAAATAATGGCATACATGGATACAAAATCAAATACATAAATCTAGAAATTTTCTTTAAAGATGTGAAAAGTAAAAGAATAATAATTTAGCAATAATCTGGATCCCCAAACTCAGTAGGAAGAACAAGGGTGGGAGGAGGGGTAGTGAAGTGTAGCAGAGAATGGAAAATAAAGTAAAATAATGCTAAAAAAAATCTTATACAGGAGAGTCGCAGGGAGATCGATAACTAAATTATCTCATCTTCAATGAAATATAGACTGAGGGAAGTTTGTAAAAAATGAAGAGTTCAGCAATATGAAATTTCAAGCAGGATGTGAGCCCTACAAATCACTGAAGGAAACAACAAAATATGCCCCAGATAGCAAAATACTGAAAACAAAATATTAATAATAATTTAAAAGCTGAAAGTATAAAACATAATATAAGTAAACACAAACATATTAGTGATCAGAGAAATAAATTTTAAATAATGAGGTATACATAAATAAATTAGACTCTGTAGTGGCTGTTTCAGTCGATATGCCTACTCTTAAGGTTGAGTGCCCATTCCCTTACATACTTGGCCAAATTTTCAGAGATTGTTAACATCCGATATGGACAAGTACATAAGGGAATGGGCACTCAAACTTAAGAGTAGGAATGTCAACTGAAACAGCCACTACACAGCCTAATTTATTTATGTATATCAAATTTTGAAGTGAGCATATATACTACAGAAATGACAAATACAGATAATAATTTGTATGCCAAACACATAGTGACAATGATACATATGCTAACTTTTATGACAGTATTGTTTATGATAGCAAAAAAAAAAAAAGAAATAACCTAAATACCCATCAATAGCAAGATGGGAAATAAATCATGCTATACTCACTTAATCAATTATTACCCAACAATTAAAAGAATGAATGGACCTATAATATGTGACATGGAAAAATTTCTAAGTTGGGAAGACTTAGAGAATCGGTAAGTTGGGAGGACAATGTGCAGAATAGTATGTATAAATGCACCCATTTTGTTATAGTCCTAACCTGTGTATTCGTATATGTATATTTTTATGTAAATATATAGAAAAAAATGTCTGGAAGAATACATAGTAAACTTTTAATAAATACCACCGGGAGGCAAGTAGTTTTGCCCTCCTTATTCTATCTACTCTGAACAATTTGCATTTTTATACAGCGAATGTATCACTTGAGTGGTGGTTGTGTTTAGTTTTCTTACTGGCCTTACTCAAATGTCAGCTCTTCAATCTTCCCCTGACTCCCTGGATTTGCCTTTTCCTGGGTGACTCAAATGCATGCCATACTTATTTCTACAATCACATGTGCACTATTACTTAGTAAAGAATTGTAGCCATGTTTTCTACCTAGGTGGTGAGCTTCCTTTAGGCAGAGACTCTATCTTACTTATCTCTGAATTCCCCACATCCAACACATGTCTGGCACATAGTAGGTTTTCATGGTTTAATCTAATGAATGAATTAATCAACCAATCAAACAATATAGGAGTGAGACATGGTTAAGCTTTCCAAATTCTGTGGTTAGGTTATCCATGCCATACCTCACTCCAAGGCCTGTAGTGTATCAGGATGTATCACTTGTAGTGTAACAGGGACTCTTCCTGGGAAGCAGTATAGTCATTAAGAGAAAGAGATCCAATTCCAGCTCCACCACTGCCCGGCTGGTGATGCCACCATACATGTCACTTAACCTCTCTGTAATTCAGCTTCCTCTTCTGTGAGGAAGGGCTAATAACCATTCCTGTTTCACAGAACTATTGTAAACACTAAATGCGTTAAAATACTACCATTAGTTGTATTATACAAAGACATTTCTAGATAACAACAGGGAAGAAAATCAAAATTATTAACCAAACCTTCAAGGCATTGCCATTAAAGGACCCTGTCCCATGGGGTATAAGAGGAGGGACAAACATTCACACATCGTTGCAGTCCCTTCATGTTAGCACTTCTAAATACTGAGCCAAGGACAGCCACCCCCAGATGCTGCCCTATTCCCCACCACTCTGCCTCTCCTGCGCCGACCCTTGCCACCCCACCTCTTATGCCCCTTGATCCCCATCTGTATATTCCACCATTCCCAACCCTGGAGTCAATCCTATTCCAAATCATGGGAAAAATATAATAAGCCCTTGGCCATCTCTATAATTTTGGAATTTTGAAATCTTGGAGAAAAAGTATAGGTTCTTCTGTATTAGAAAAGATCCCATTTCCAGAGAAGGCACAAATGCATGACAAGAACACTCCATCAATCCCTGTGGGGCACTACTTGAAATTTTCCCACAAGCTGATCTTATAGAAGAGGGAGATTAAGAAAAGTGAAAGTTATTTTTCACAGGAGGCTCTAGTAGGGACAGAAAGTCATCATGAAAGCATCATGACAGGTCCACCTGATCCCAGACTCAACCTCTGAATTGCTTCCACATTGTCTGTGCCACACAAGCTCCTGAGCCCTCTGCAGCCTGAAGAAATGAGTGAAATCTAAATGTGGTTCTGGGGTAAGAACCTACTTTCCATCTTGGAATCTCACAGAGACCCCAAAGCTAAATAAAAATTCCTTCAATTTCTCTTTTTTAAAAGATATTATTACTGCTGACTTATTTCAACTTTCAATTATTTGATTATAAGCGATCTTTTACATTTTCTGTTTGCTTATTTAATGTCTGTTTATTTTTTTATGAATTGTTCAAGTAGATTTCTGTCTTAATCTTGTGAGGTAGCATTTACCATAAACCTAAAACTCAGACACCTAAAACTAGCAGGACTATAGCAAATAGGTTACTGTTTTATTTTTGAATGAGAAGGCCTTGATTCAGTGTTGAACAGCAAGAAGAATCAAAAGATTTTTATTCAACTTCAAGTACAAAATTATCTTTGAATTTGTTTATTTATCTCCTGAGATTAACCTGATAAACTGAACTCTTCATGGACTAGGACCCAGTGGAACAATTCTTTGGATTTCTAAAGCGGTAAGGCAGACCAGCACCCTCCGTGGCCAGTACAGAGAGGGCAGGCCAACCCTAGGATAAAGCAGAAGGGAACAAGCTTTGGGCATTGCTGTGGATGGAGAAGTCTGAGTGCTGCTTCTGGGCAGGTAAACATATGCCTGGATGTGCTGCAGGGATCTTAGCTTGTCCCCATCAATGTCCTCCTTTGAGTCAGAAGAAAACTTTTCAGTAATTGGGCAGAAGGGCAGTGGGCTACTTCTTTAAACTGTTGAAAGTCTCCTCTCAGCTCTCATGTCTCAGGCCAGAGAGACAACTTAGGGTGGCATTCAGTTTCCTGGTCTCCAGGCTAAAGTAATCATTTTGAAAGCTGATTCCTCTGTGTTTCAGAGATGCTCCCCACAGATCTGAACTACTGGGGGTCTCCAACCTGTCACAAGCCTAAGGGGGGAAAAACTAACAATATCCCTTTTAGTAACAGATTTCTGGTAAAATTTGGATCACTGGGCTGGAGCAATTCTCAGGCCATAGTGGAGATGCCATCAAATTCTTTTCTTAATGGCATGGACTAACCGTCCTCTAGGACTACTGTCGGGAGCTTTTGTCCTAGGTCATGATTTCTGCTGACATAATTGGAATATCTGAATCCATATGATAAGGAGTCCTGTTTCAAGTAATTTAGGCAGACTATGTACTTTAGAAAACAAGACTGAGCCATAAAAAGGGAGGAGGAGGCACACAGACCCTGAGATCTTTGGTGAGTGTGTCTCAGGTGGATCCGAAGCTGACAAACCATGTGAGTGTGTATGGCCATGAAAACTTTGAATTATCTGCCAGACAGAGTAAGTGCCCTAAAACCAAGATACATTTTAAAATGCTTTTATTCTGAATATTTATTCATAGGTCAAGCCTCATATTTCATTCCATTAATGCATTCATATTGCACCTGTTTTCCTCTCCCTTAGGTGCTTTACATATCCAAATGAACAAATACCAATTCACTTCAGGTTCCTTGGCTGTCTCTTAACTCTCGGCCTCTGACACTCTCCCTCCCTCCTACTGCTCTCTTGGCTCTTCTCAATCCCCAACCCTAAGTCCCATGATCCCCACCCTCAGAATCGCCCACATGTCTCTGTTTGTTTTGCCCCAAAAGATGCCAGACTGGAGATAATTTTTCTTTGATTTAAAATCCAGGCATAAAAAACTTTACCAATTCATCCTTGGCCCCTTAGTTCTAGAAAGAAGGTAATTAAAAAAAAAAAAAAGTTTGTTAATCCCAAGTGTGGCTTTTATCAAGATTCTTTAAATAACCCTTTGTTATTTAACCAGACTCAATTGACCGCCTAACTGGTAAAAGGAAAAAAATATATATCACGGCTCATATTTAGCATAACAACCTAATCATCAGGTAAATTCCACTGAACAAGAATTAGAGAAACCTGAAGACAATCTTCCCTTTTAGAAGGCTGAACTTAGAAACCTCGTATAATTCAACTCCACTGAAAGTACTGCTCCACTACCCTGGAAAAGCAACTCCATGGTTTATCTCTAGATTATTGGGTAGTAATTGTTTTTTGTCCACTTTTGATTAAAGTAAAAATACACCATTGTGCACAAAGGGATGTGTACATCTCATAAATTTTTACAAACTGAACACTCTTGCATAACTAGCACCAGGTCAAGATTTAGGGTGCTACCAGTACCCCAGAAGCCTCCCTCATGGCTCCTCCCAGTCATTAACTCAACCAAATGCAACTACAAGTCTGACTTCTACCTCAATAGATGAGCTTTGCCTGGTTTTGAACTTTATATTAATGGAATTATACCAAATGCACTCTTTTATATCTGACTTCTTTTGCTCACATATTATGTCCATGAGATGAATCTACATTGTGGTGGGTAGCATTAATGCATTCTTTTTTGTTGCCATTGTTTGTTCCATTATATGAATGTACCACAATTTGTTCATTCATTCTACCTTTGATGGACATCGGAATTGTTTCCAGTTTTGGCAATGGTGAATAATGCTGCTACAAACATTCTAGTATATGCCTTTTGGTACACACACCTGTGAATGTCTGTTGGGTTTATACCTAAGAGGGGAATTGCTGCATCATCAGGTATGCATATATTAAGCTTTAAAAGATACTGTCAAAGTTTTCCAAAGTAATTTTACCAATTTACACTCAATGAAAATTTCAATTCTGCACATCCTCTACAACATTTAGTATTGTCAATTTGTAAAATTTTAAGCATTCTCATAGGTGGTTAGCTGGAGCTCCTTGTGGTATTAATTTGCATTTCCCTAATGGCTGTTGATGTTGAGCAACTTTTTATATTATATGCCTGTTGGCTATGGAGGTACTCCCTTTTAAAATGTGCCAGTTTGAGTCTCTTGTCCACTTTTAACTGATTTTTTCTTATTTGTAGGAAATTTTTAAATAAATTCTGGATGCTAGTCCTTTGTCTGATATTTATAATGTAAATATTTTCTTCTGTCTAATGTAAATATCTTCCTCTGTTGCTTGCCATTTTATTCTCCTTAAAGTAAGAAAAGATTCTTGGCCGGGCACAGTGGCTCACACCTGTAATCCCAGCACTTTGGGAGGCCAAGGCAGGTGGATCACCTGAGGTCAGGAGTTCGCAACCATCCTAGCCAACAAGGTGAAACCCTGTCTCTACTAAAACTACAAAAATTAGCCAGGTGTGGTGGCAGGCACCTGTAATTTGTACTTGGGAGGCTGAGGCAGGAGAATCACTTGAACCCGGGAGGAGGAGGTTGCAGTGAGCCAAGACCGTGCCATTGCACTCCATCCTGGCCCACAGGAGTGAAACTCTGTTTCAAAAAAAAAAAAAGAGTTTGTTGCTCCCACCGAGTTCTGAAGAACGCCAGCAGCTCGCTGCTTAAAATTAAACCACAGGGTTCCATGATGGGTCAACTTGATGGGAAAGTCATCATCCTGACAGCCGCTGCTCAGGGGATTGGCCAAGCAGCTGCCTTAGCTTTTGTAAGAGAAGGTGCCAAAGTCATAGCCACAGACATTAATGTGTCCAAACTTCAGGAACTGGAAAAGTACCTGGGTATTCAAACTCGTGTCCTTGATGTCACAAAGAAGAAACAAATTGATCAGTTCGCCAATGAAGTTGAGAGACTTGATGTTCTCTTTAATGTTGCTGGTTTTGTCCATCATGGAACTGTCCTGGATTGTGAGGAGAAAGACTG
Source organism: Homo sapiens (assembly GCF_000001405.40). Taxonomy (NCBI): domain Eukaryota; kingdom Metazoa; phylum Chordata; class Mammalia; order Primates; family Hominidae; genus Homo; species Homo sapiens. Next base: position 99,175,037 of record NC_000006.12, read on the forward strand.
GGACTTCTCGATGAATCTCAATGTGCGCAGCACGTACCTGATGATCAAGGCATTCCTTCCTAAAATGCTTGCTCAAAAATCTGGCAATATTATCACCATGTTTTCTGTGGTTTCCAGCATCAAAGGAGTTGTGAACAGATGTGTGTACAGCACAACCAAGGCAGCCGTGATTGGCCTCACAAAATCTGTGGCTGCAGATTTCATCCAGCAGGGCATCAGGTGCAACTGTGTGTGCCCAGGAACGGTTGATACGCCATCTCTACAAGAAAGAATACAAGCCAGAGGAAATCCTGAAGAGGCACGGAATGATTTCCTGAAGAGACAAAAGATGGGACGATTTGCAACTGCAGAAGAAATAGCCATGCTCTGCGTGTATGTGGCTTCTGATGAATCTGCTTATGTAACTGGTAACCCTGTCATCATTGATGGAGGATGGAGCTTGTGATTTTAGGATCTCCATGGTGGGAAGGAAGGCAGGCTCTTCCTATCCACAGTGAACCTGGCTATGAAGAAAACTCACCAATCATCTCCTTCCTGCTAATCACATGTTAATGAAACTAAGCCCTTTTTAACAATGTCACTGTTTGCAAGAGTCTGATTCTTTAAGTATATTAATCTCTTTGTAATCTCTTCTGAAATCATTGTAAAGAAATAAAAATATTGAACTCACAGCAAGAGAATAGTTTTTAAAATAAATCTCAATTTGTAAGCATCTGTGTTAGTCACTTTGGGCTGCTATAACAAATTACCATAGATGGAGTGTCATAGACAACAAACATTTATTTTTCAGTCTGGAGGCTAGGAAGTGCAAGATCAAGGTGCCAGCAGATATGGTATCTGGTTAGGGCCCACTTCCTAGTTTGCAGATGGTCCTCTTCTTGCTACATCCTCACATAGCAAGAGCAGAGAAAAAAAGCAAGCTCTTATGTGTCTTTTTATAAGGACACTAATCCTGTTCATGGGGGCACTACCCTTATGACCTAATTACCTCCCAAAGGCCCCACCTCCTAATGTATCATATTGGGGGTTAGGATGTCAACACATGACTTTGGGGTGATACAAATAGCCCATTGCAGCATATACAATTAAAATGTAAATATGAAGAAAAAAGGAAGTTTTTGTTTTTTTTGTGGGGGGTGGGGTTAAGGAAGAAGATAGTAATTTCAGGACTAGGCATTGTAGCTCATGCCTATAATTCCTGCACTTTGGGAGGCCAAGGCAAGAGGATCACTTGCTGCCAGGAGTTCAGGACCAGCCTAGTTAATAGAGAGAGGCTAAGGTAGGAGGATTATTTGAGCCCAAGAGTTTGAGGCTGCAGTGAGCTGTAATCATGCCACTGCACTCCAGGGTGACAGAGCAAGACCCTGTACCTAAATAATAATAATAATAATAATTTCCACTTTATTTTTCAATATTCAAATATTTTTATATAATTCTGCATTGTTCTGTATGTAGATCCTAATTTTAAAATTTTACACCATCATAGATGAACAAAGGTAGGAAGCAGTTTGGCTTCAATAGCTTACAGTAAAAGAAGTAAAGGAGTTCAGCCTCAAAACGATATTGTTGATCTGTCATGTTATGAAAAATAATCCAGTGTTTATACTTAACGGATGCCATCCCTTATTAATTATTTACTATTTTCTTAGTCTAAGTAAACACTCTTTATTAAAATAAGCAATGATACTTGACATGGGCCTAAGAAATATATAGTTAGCTAACTGACAACATTGTCAGTTAGAGGGATTTCTTTTTTAAATTAAGTACAGATTTCTTCACCAAACTCCAGGATAACAGAAAAGAGGACATAAAATTTGGACATAGTCTCTGGATAAATAAATGTAAATTTAAATATAAATCATATAACAGGAAACGAAATTAAAGAAAATAAATTTTTCAAGAAAAGTAAATTTATGGATGATAATTCTGTAACATAGTCAGGGCAAAGTTTTTTCTTTTTATTTTAATTTAAGGATTTTATGTTTGTTTTTCACTTGTTGTAACCTCACATGACCAAATGGTATGATGCACACTGAGATACTCAATAAATGTGCAGTTATTCTTAGCCTTTTTTCCTAGAACTTTAATATTAACAAGGAAAATTTTGAAGTGCACAATGAAAAGATAACACTTTGTGTATGGGGAAGAATATCATGCAGTTGATGACAGTACATTAAAATTCACACAAAAGGACATTTTGACTAGCATTCCGAAAGAGTCCATTGATTATAAGATTATCTATGAGGTTTTGGACCAGGCATTACACTACTGAATTATGGCTAACTTTGGTTTGTGATCTAGACCAAGTCACCTAATCTATCTTGGATTTTAGTTTTCTGGTTTATGAAATTAAGGAGTTAAGCTAAATGACTTGGGTTTCTTTTCATGTATCATAATCAAAATGCTGTAACTTCTCTAGTGAATTCATAGAACACTGACTCTTATAACTATGTCATGAAATACTTTATGCTGTGAACAGGTATACGTGTATAATATATGTATAGCTATGAACAAATAAATTTTAAATAAATGCACAATGAATTCTAAAAAAAAAAAGAGAGAGAAAAGAAAATATTCTCAATTTGAATAAAGTCAGTGCACTAGCCTTTCAGTTTATGGTTTGTTCTTCTTGCATCTTTTTAAAGAAATCTTTGCATGTTCCAAGGTTTTAAGTACATTCTCTAATACATTAAATACATTGTTATATTCTGGAAAATTTATTTCACATTAAGATCCATGATCTAAGAATTTATTTTTGTTTATGGTCCGGGATAGGTAGCAAAGTTTGTTTTGTTTTGTTTTTTCCCAAATTTCAACCAGTTGATTCATCACCATTTACTGAAGGAAGAAAAATAGCCTTTGGCACTGTACTACTGTGGCACCTTTGTCATAAATAAGGTGGCCAGGGATATATGCGGGTCTGTTTCAGGACTTTTTCTTCTGTTCCTTTAGCCAATGTGTTGATCCTTGGACCAAGGAAGTAGTGTTAATTACTGTGGCTTTATAAGAAGTTTTGGAATCTGGAATTCTATACTCTTTAAGTTTGTCTTCACTCTTCTTCAGGATTGTCTTTACTATTCTTGATGGTTTGCATGTATATATAAATTTCAGAATCAGTTTGTCAATTTCCACCAAAAAAAAAAAATGCTAGAGTTTTTCTTAAGATGGCATTGAATCTATATTTCAATTTGGTGAGAATACCCATCTTTTCAATTGTTAACCAAAAATAAAATTCTAAGCTGCCCAAATATCTGAACAGACTCCTCCTCTTGGCCAAGGGCATTCCAAAGTTAACCTGAAAAACTAGTTTTGGCCATGAGAGGAAGTGGGGAGTCAGATATGACTCACAGCTGACCAGCATTAACATGAACACAGAAACTTTAAAACTGATAAGAGTCTTAATAGACTCTTTAAGTCTGATAAGAAACATTTATGGCTGGGCACAGTGGCTCATGCCTGTAATCCCAACACTTTGAGAGGCCGAGGAGGGGGGATCACGAATTCAGGAGATCAAGACCATCCTGGCTAACATGGTGAAACCCCATCTCTACTAAAAATACAAAAAAAAAAAAAAAAAATTAGCTGAGTGTGGTGGCGGGTGCCTGTAGTCCCAGCTACTCGAGAGGCTGAGGCAGGAGAATGGCGTGAACCCAGGAGACAGAGCTTGCAGTGAGCCAAGATTGTGCCACTGCACTCCAGCCTAGGCAACAGAGTGAGACTCCGTCTCAAAAAAAAACAAAACAAAAACATACAAACAAAAAGGAACATTTATAATCTATTCTCTCTGAAGCCTGCTACCTGGAGGCTTCATCAGCATGATAAAACCTTGGTCTCCACAACCCCTTATCTTATCCCAGACATTCTTTTCTGTTGATTCTAAATCTTTAGACAATAACTTAACTCTTTTAACCAACTGCCAATCAGAAAATATTTTAATCTACCCATGACCTGTAAGCACCTCCCCCATTTTCAGTTGTCCCAACTTTCCAGACCAAACCAATGTATATCTTACATGCATTGATTGATATGTTATGTCTCCCTAAAATGTATAAACCAAGTTATAACCCAATCACCTTAGGCACATGTTATCAGGATCTCCTGGAGGTTGTGTCATGGGCCATTGGCCACTCATATTTGGTTCAAAATAAAGCTCTTCAAATATTTTACAGAGTTTACTTCTTTTCATTGACATGATATTGAGCCTTCTAATCCATTAACTTGTTACAGCTTCCTACTTAATTTCTTTCTACTTTAATTTCTTTCAGCAATATTTTATAGTTTTCTGTGTAGAAGACTTGCATATCTTTATTTTCCCTATTTAATATTTTTTGATGCTAGTAAAATTTTAAAAATCATTTCCTAATTTGATGTGGCTGATATATGCAGATACAATTGATTTTTATATATTGACTTTGTTGTATACAGTGGCCATGCTAAATTAACTATTATTAATTCTAATAGTCAATTTTTGTAGATTCTTTTGGAATTTCCAAGTATACAGTCCTATCATCCACAAACCAAAACAGTTTTATTTCTTGCTACATATTACATATGTCTTTTGTTTCATTTTCTTGTCTTATTGCACTGACTAGGAATTCCAATACAATGATTCATAAAAATGGCAATAGCAGACATCCTTGCTTCATTTTTGACACCAGGGGCAAGGTTTTTAGTGTTTAATCATTAAAAGTGACATTTGTGGTTAGCTTTTAAAAATACTTTTTATTATTAAGAAAGTTACTTTCTATTTCTACTTTGCAAAGGATTTTTTCATGAACTGGTGTTAAATTTTATCAAATGCTGTTTCTTAATTTTTTGAGATGATCATATTTATTTTCTCCTCCATCCTGTTAAAATTTATACAGAATTCCACTATGTTCAGAGAACATACTCCATATGATTTTGACTTTTTGAAATTTGTTGAGACACATTTTATGACCCAGCTTACAGTGTATTGTGGCAAATGTTTCTCATGTACTTGAAAAGAAACTATACGTCTACAGTTGTTCAGTACGGTGTTCTATATAGAACTGGAAAATTGGAAATTAAGCAATTCACTACCGATTAACCTATGCAATAAAAAAAAGTCATGAAACTTAAGTAAAGCAGCGCTTAGAGAAAAATTTATAACCTTAATGCTTACGCTGGAAGAGGAATAACATTTCAATTTAGGATTGTTTTATTTTTATTTTCCTTTTGAAATGACGCTTCTAATATAGTGAAATGCCTTTTCTTATATATAACAGTGCTTCTCAACTGAGGACATTAGCAAGGTCTAAAGACAATTCTTGGTTGTCATGATTCAGGGCGGGGAATGTTGCTGACATCTAGTGAGTAAAGGTCAGGGATGCTTATAAGCATCCTGCAATGCACAGGATGGTCCCTCACAACAAAGAATTATCCAGTTCAAAATACCAATAGTGCTGAGTTGAAAAACCCTTTTATGTAATAATACTTTTTGCCCTAAAATCTACATTGATAGTAATAGTTAGTAGAACCTGATGTATCTTTTATCCTTTGACCGTCAACTTTTTGTGTGTTCTTATACTTTTTGTGTGTTCTTATACTCTTTTAAGTATAATATAACTGGATTTTTATTTTTATACATTCTGATAATATTTTATTTAACTTGAAGAATTTAGTCCGTTTATATTTAATATAAAGATGGATATATTTGGGTTCAAATCTGCTACCCTACAATTTATTTTCTTTTTGTAAACATATATTTTCCCCATTTTTTCTCTTATCTTGTCTTTCTTGTGATAATTGAAATATTTCTAAAAATTGTTTCATTCCCTCCCCCACTGGCTTGTTACATAGGGATTATTTGCTATTTTTTTAGTGGTTGCCTTAGAAATTACAACATGCATTTTTAACTTATTATCGTTTACTGCATATTAATACTTCTACCACTTCTCAGAAAACACAAGGGTCTTTGACACTTTAATTTACACAGTCCGTCTCCCTTGTATGATATTGTTGTCTTATATTTATATTCTAGAAACATTTTAAACCTTACATTATAATTGTTGTTTTAAACAGGCAGTATATTGATTTATATTTTTTACATACTTACCCATTCTCCTCATTCCTTCCTGAAGTTTCACATTTCCATTTGGGAATATTTTCCTTCCACCTGAAGAAATCCCTTTACAGTTTTGGGTTTTTTTTTTTTTTCTGCAAAAGATGAATTCCCTAAGCTTTTGTTTATTTCAAAATGTCATTTTTGTTTTATCTTCATTTTGAAAATATTTTCCTCAGTATAAAATGCTAGGTAGACTGTTTTCTTTCCACACTTTACAGATGCCATTCCATCATTACCTAGCTTTCATGAATTCTCTTAAAAGTCAGTTGTAAATCATATTGCTGCTGCTGTGAACATGTTTCTTTTTTTCTGGCAACTTTTAAGATGTTTTTGTCTTTTTCATCAATTTTATTATTGTGTGCATACGTGTAGTTTTCTTTGCATTTATGCTACTTAATGATACATAAACTCCTGCCTCTATGGTTTGATATCTCATGGGTTTGTGAAACTTCTCAGCCAATTTATCTTCAAATATTACTTATTTGACACATTATACTGTTACATGGACCCATTTTCTCTCTTTTCTCTTTCTGGAACTCCAATTACATATATTTAGGCCACTCACAATTTTCCATCTGTATCATATATTTCATACTTTTCATTCTTTTTTTTCCCTTTGTGCATTAATCTGGATAGTTTTTGCTGGCCTATCTTCCAATTAAACAATCCTTTTACTGAGTTCTAATCTGTTATTAAACCATCTATTGAATTATTAAACTTAGTAACAGGAATTTGAATTAGACAATTTCTATTTGATTCATTTTTATTGGTTCTTGCTCTCTGTGAAATTTTTAATTTTCTTCTCTATTTTGTTGAGCACATTAATCATACTTATTTGAACACATGCCTGTGTCTGACAACCCCAAATCTGAATCATTTGTAGGTCTTGTTTTCCCCCTTGGGTTTTTGTTTTGTTTGTTGTTTTGGGGGTTTGTTTTGTTTGGAGTTTTAGGGGTGTGGCAGTTTGTTTTGGTTTTAGTCTTTTGGTCCTGTTTCCTATCATGCCAGCTAATTTTTTCTATGTTAATGTATAAGCAACCCTCTCTGTGTATAAGTCCACAGAGAAGATTTAATTTTTTTTTCTTGAAGACAGATGGAGAACTATTAGATCATCTCGATCCAGGCAAGGTAAGTCTACTTCTGGTTTTCCCTTGTTCCTAGTTCTTGACCCTTTGGGAATCTCAACTGAAAGCCTAGAGTATTTACCAGAGTCCCTCCTCCTGAATTCCAGTTGAGCCTTCTCAGCACAGTGACTCTACCCTCTCTGCTTAGCTTTTTACCGTCTTGCAGCTACTTTCTGCTTAGTTAATCAGCATCTCATCCCACATATGTACTTCTTAAAATGTGACAAATGACTGTAGGGGAAATTGCAGGTAGAATACGGGGCTCAATATTTTATAGTAAACTTTCCTCTAGTATCCTGCTCTTCAAGTCCTGACTGCCTCAGGAAACTTGAACCCTAATATTTGACTCCTAGCCCAATGAGTATCCTTCTACGACCCTTCTGTTCAGATTCTGCACCCTGCCCCACAACTTGTAAACGTCCCAAAAGGAAAAATTGATAGGGAATGTAGGCCTCACTTTAATGCATTCTCCCTCTCTTGGGATCTTGACCTGTCAAGTCCTGACTGCCTTGATTTCCCTTTGCTGCCTTTAAAAATGTCTGTTTTCTAGATGTTCTTAGCAGGAGAGTTAGTCTGATACTAGCTACTCAATCTTAATCAAAAGCATGAGTGGTAATTACTTTTTAATAGGCTACAAGCAATACAAAGTTAAGAACTAATTGGATTTATTAAATTATTTGGTTAATTAAACTAATAACTACCTTGAATTTCCACAGCACTGCTCTTCCAATGATTTCAAAGTATTTTAGCACATTAACAAAGGACCATTACTAGTTTCCTCCAGCTCTAACTTATAAATTTTAAATTGATGTAACAGAAGAAAATAACTTAAGTTCATAGGCATGAGGTATCCAGAAAAATTAGATAAAAAGAGGTACTAAATATGCTGATTGCCAAAATCATCAGAATGATTTGAAATCCCAAGAAATAGACTCCCCCTAAGTACACTATGATTCATATTAAGCTTGTAGTTGCCCATATCCTCTGGTGTTCTAGAGGGATATGGAAAGTATGTAGCATGTGCTTAGTGCTGGTTTGGTTACATCATCAAACAGAGTAAGCAGATTGGTATCAAGGCTTCTCAGAAAGTTTTTAGAAACATAATTATAGTAAAATAATTGTCTGTAAGACTTATGAGACAACAAATACTGTCATTAAACATTGGTTTCTTATGTAAGTGGAATCGTAACAGTATTACAAACCATATTCTGTTTATCCTTTTAGGTTTACTGTAGCAGTAGCCTTTGAAGTCACATGTTATTCTATGGAGATTTTTCTATGCCTTCTCTCCAGAATTGGCATGAAACATGGATTCTTTACAAATTTCTTACAAATTCATTCCAGAGAGGCATGTTCAGCTTATAAAAGAAATTTAAAGATTTTTCTCTAAACTGAATGGGGAGAAAACTTACTAAATATGCAAGGAGGAGCCTGTAGATTTTAACTCTAAATCACAGCAAATAGTTACAAATGAAACACAGAGCACCCAATAGATACCCAAAAAATATTTGATGATATTGATCTCCTGCATCCTACAATGAGCTTTTAGCGGGGCTTTGATAGTAATTGGGTACCTCATCTTAATATCTTGACACAAAGAAATTTGGAATAATCCATCATTGTGTTTCTCTAGGATTCCAAATAACAAGCACTGCAAATGGGGTGAGAACAGGTTGACCTCACAAGGTCCCTTGCAACACTGTACATGAGAATTAATAATAAATGGAGGCTAGCATTTTTATTGATAATTTCTGTCCAGAACTGAAGGTATCTCATAGACACTGGCTGTACTTCCTACCATTTCTTGAAGGACTAAAAAAACACGGTTACACTCATTTTACAAATCAGCAAACAGAAGTCAAATAATTCAACAAAGTTCACAAAACATGCCCACCTTGGCCAGGAAATGTGCCTGGGTGTCTCCACCACTGATTCAATGAGTTACTGATTAGTATTACCTTTCTGCTTACTGTTATTCCCTACACTGTTAGCTTCATAGAACAAATCCTAACTGCTGAACTACTTCGAATATAGTTGTCTAACATCATTGTACTGTTCTTAGATTTGCACATTGACCACATCTAGTAAAAGTCTTCTATTGCACAGCTTACTTGTTGTATCCCATTCAGGAATAAGCAATAAACCAAAAATATGTAAGTGAGGAATAGGGGGAGAATTGCAGGCTTATTTCACTCTTGCATGTACACATACACAAAAAAGTTCCCACTTTGTTGGGTGTTTCTAGTAGGTTATCATCTGCATGATGAAGGCTCAAGGCAGCAGGAATGATAGGGCACTTAGCACAACAATCAGATTAGAAAAGAACAGTTTAGACCCTAAACAACTGACCACTTCATGAAGCTTAAAGAATCCAAAGGAAAAAATTTAGAAATTATCTGAGTATCATTTGAGTTATGTAGTGAATAAATCAAATACTTATAATTTCTTCACTTCCTTATTATATTTGCCCACATTCCACAGTGGGAGAGGATCCACGGAAGATGTTGTAAACCAATTCCTACTCTTTTCATCTGTTTCTAAATGCAGTTATGCCTTTGGTTAACAGTATGCAATATGCTGAACTTCCTTTAAAACCTTGAAATCATCTCAACAGCCTCAGGGTAAAAGGGAAATTGTGTCAGCAGCAACCAAACGGCCAGAAGGTATAGCTTAAATGTTTCCCAACATCCAGGCAACACCTGGCAAATGTCTAGTGGTTGGAAGAGCTAAGTGTGCCCACTAGGAACAGATGTGAAAAATGGATAAGGTGAACATACATCCTCTATTGGAATGTTGCTAGCTTTATTTTGTTTGCTTATATAAATGGACTGCTACTTCTTTATATTTCTACAGCCCTTTCCTATGTGATGGTCGGCAGAGCCCATGGCAAAAACCACCCTTCAAGGCATGGTTGGGTGACAGACAGAGGGTGCAGCAGGGGAAGCAGGAAGACCAGCTCATGTAGGTGCGGCCGGTCAGATCATCACCTGGAGAGCTTCTGACCTCCTCCCGTGAACTCTCACCAGTTCCACTTCAGGTACCTCTTGCTCTTCTTGTGTTCAGCTTGCTCATTCCCTCCAAAGAGGACATTGCTCTAGATTATACTCCTCACCTCCCTCTACCATCTCTCAGGTTGCATTCAGTATCAGAAAATCCAAGAAATATATTCACAGATGTTCCCTTGTTTATTTGTTGACTCTGTGTAATTTGTTTGCCCTAATTTGTTTTTGTCTACCTGGGGACTTCCCTTTTTAATTTCCCTTTCTCTGTTTACCCCTCTTTGTGGAGCAGCGGTCTGTTAAGCTGTGAGAGGCACACGCCAAATTAAAAAAAAAAAAAAAAAACAGCACTGCAGATTGTTTTAAGCATGGGCTGCCCCTTTGGGCCTGAAGGCCTTGCTTGAAGCCTGCACCTGCTCCTCCTCCTGAGACGCAGGGCTCCTGATCTTTATCCCTTGCCTTTAAGCTGCCTGATTCCTATTATCCAAAGTCAAACAGCGTTCTCTACATTCACGCCTCCAGCACTTGGCATGAAATTAATAAGCCTGGCTGATATATTTCCCTGGAAGCCTGCCACTCTTTAATAGTGGTGTTAGATTAAAAATTTTGGCATGGTTAATGAACAGGGAAAAGCTGAAGCCAAAAGTTTCATGCAGCAATGCAAAGATTTGGGGGTTATGAAAAGAATACCAACTTTTCTCATATTTTCTGAATGCCATCCTAATTACAGGGTTAGATAACAAACACAACTAGACAGTCAGCATTAGAAGAAAAGGTGTATTCTCAGGCTTTACTCGTATTTAGATTTTATCGTCTGTCCTTTCAATCACATGGCCTTCTGTTAGATTGGGTTATCTAAAATTGTAATAATAGTTATTTGTGCTCTAAACAGATTTCCCTCATACGAGGTCACTATTTTTCTCATTAAAGGAGCACTATGAATGGGTTTTGGACCGAAAACTGATCTTCCTGAAGTGAAAGTCATTCCAGTGCGAGATTATTATGCACTTATTAAAGACCAGTGTCTCACAGTTGGAGTTCCAGTACTCATTGTTTAAGTCTAAAGCAACACTCCCCAAATCATGAAGACACCACCTCTCCCCACCACAGGAGATGTACTTGATACCTAGGCCATGCTTTTGCTCCCCAACCTCTTAACCCAGCCCCAAGCTATAGAGAATTAGACTCACCCAGAAGATGTAAAATCCACTGGGTCCTCATGACCCATTCCATTGGTAAGGGTTTCGCAAAAGGTTTGACAAGGGTTTGGCAAAACCTAGGCAAAGTCCCATATCCCATGCAGAGCGCTCCCAGGGCAGAAGGGGTGCACAAGCATGGTAACATGAGTACTCTATTCTTAGTTACCCATCTCTACCACTTAGATATTAATGCCACATAACAAGAAGCCTGGGAATATGAAAGGAACACAATGTGAAGGAGGCAGGAAAGGAAGGAGGAGCAAAAGGAAAGTTATGTTTGTTTGGTGGAAACACAAATATGTTCTACAACTCTGTCCTGTCCCCTGAGGAATAGCCAGGAGTTACAGTGACCAACAGGTGCATGCCATCCCTCTTCAGGGACTCTTGGCTCTGAGTCCCAATACATGGCAAAGGTGGAATTGCCAGAGCTGTAGAATTGCCCAATTCTTTGTCCAATTAGGAAAACCTAGGCAATGAGCTCAGAAAGAGACACTCAGCTGATCAAACACAAGATTTGTTTTTCATATGCTCTAAAGCATCAGGTTAAATCAAACTTAACCTATCAATGATCTACAGATAATATAAAGCCGAGACTACCTTTACTTTTTGCTTTAGTTCCCCTACTCAACAGAATAGTCATAAGAAAAGGCATCATCAAAATCACCACCATCACTCAAAAGTTCATTTCAACTGAAAAACAGTTACCCAGAAGTAAATGCATGAGAATCACGTCACCTCCACTTGTATTGGCCAATGTGACAGCCATTCTTGAACAGATACCCTATCTAATCAATGACTTAAAGGAAAAGTTAAAATGGTAAATAACCCTCCCTGGGCTGAAAATAGGAAGTATGACTAACATTCTTCTCTTAAGTTACTAGGAGGAAAAAGGATTTTAAAGCACATGAGGATTTCATCAGGAGACAGGAGTTGACCCTTGGTAGAGTCAAATCAATTTCACAGCAACCCATTACAACAGGTGTCTACTGTATTCATAATTGCAGGATACTTCAAAGCTTTTTCTCAATATAAAGAAAGCATAAAGAGATCAAAGCTCCTAGACCACACATTATGCAGTTGAAAGTTGTCCCAACATGTTCCCTGCTTACAAGACAAATAAGTTAAATGTATTTGCAAATGTCAACTTCATCCCTTTTAATGCCTCTTAAATCAGGTCAGTGAGTCTATTTTGGAAACATAAGTAGGATGACTCACAGATACTTCCTTGGCTCATTACCCAAGCAACTCCATTTTAAGCACTCTGGAGTTGCCCTCCTGTGGTCCACATCCTTCGGACATTGTTACAATCTGACCCTTTGCTTTTATGGCCCCACCTCTTTGTTCGATATGCTGCTGTCTTACACTTGCATCATTATTGTGTCACCTGAAAAAAAGTAAACTCATTTCTAAAAATAATTTGGCTCTTCTGGCCCTAAGAGTAGATGTTGGTTTGCTCTTGTGGCTGCACTCAAAGTTCTGTCTCAAACCAAACTTGCCCAGAATACTAAATTCCTTTCAAGGGAAGACAACGCTTTGCAATAAATGATCTATCCCATTTTAAAGACTAATTCCAATGTTCCAAAGTGTCCATTTTTTCTTTTACCCAGAGTTCTCTAGGAAATGGTGTTAGAGGAACAAGTATTGGGTGTCAAAACCTGGCTTGATCTCTCCCCCAACAGGATTATCTCTCTTCCTTGGAAATAAGACCAGCCAGACTTTATTCAGCTCTCCACTTTCCCCAAGGTTCCCATTTCCTGAGCTGCTTTGAAAACCTCCAATGGCAATGGCTCTCAATCAGCCCATCACCCCGGCACGGCCACCCATTATTTCCTGTAACACACCCTCCAACCAAACGCTGAACCACCACTGAATAGGCTCCATTACATGTTCTCATGGCACCTTAATAGGTGCTATGCCACATAACAAGAAGCCTGGGAATATGAAAGGAACTCAATGCGAAGGAGGCAGGAAAGGAAGGAGGAGCAAAACTTCCATCATCATGGAACTCAACACAACAAAAATTATAAAGTCATTTTCATAAAGTCTATCAACACTGTATCCCTGAGCCTAGCCTACTGTCTAGCACATGTAGGTGCCCACCCCAAGTTAATAAATAAAAGAACAAATGAATGGACCAATGTCCTTGCTTTCAACCTTCTCACAGGTTTACATTTCCTAAGCAGAGGAAATGCATCCTCATGCCAGCTTACACAACGAAAACTTTAAGTTAATATGCATTGTATAAATAAGTGAATGACTATATGTTTATCATCAGCCAATACTTTGAAGACAAAAACCTTGTTCATAATTCTTCAGGTTCTGAGAAGCACAACTCTCCTGGAGAAACTGCCTAAGATGAACAGGAACACAAGGAGAATTTTAGTGGACAGTAGGTTTTAATTATTTAAAGGGGGATAGAAAATGCTTCAGGCCTCAGAGTATCAAACATGCATCTTTCTCATCCCCTCACCAACCTAGTTGGGCCAGTTTAGAAGCATTCTGCAGCACCTTCTGAGACGTCTCAGTCCTAGCAGTTATAAGCTTCTACTAAATAACCAGTATACATCATCCTAGAGACTAACCACAACCTTGAGCTTGATGGGGGTTCAGACAATGTCCTTACTGGGCTCCCAAGCTCAGGGCCAGACAACTTGGGCTTTATATTAGTTTCCTGTTGCTGCTGTAACAAATCAACCACAAACAGTTATTTAAGACAATGTGAATTTATTATCTTAAAGTTCTGAATTTCAGAGGTTTAAAATGGGTCTCACTAAGCTAAACTCAAGGTGTCGGCTGAAGTGTGTTCCTTCTGGAGGCTCTAGGGGAAAATCCATTACTTCGCCTTTTCCAGCTCCTAGAGGCCACCAACATCCCTGGGCTTATGATACAATTTCATCATCTTCAAAGTCAACAGTGTCAGGCCAACTCCTTCTCACACTGTGGTGCTCTCTCTATTCTGCCTCCTTCTACTTATAAGGACTCATGATTACACTGAACCCATCTACATAATTCAGTACAGGTTAAGCATCCCAAATCTAAAAATATGAAATCCAAAATGCTCCAAAACCTGAAACTTTTTGAGTCCCAACATGACACTCAAATGAAATGCTCATTGGAGCATTTTGAATTTCAAGTTTTCAGATTTAGGATGCTCAACCAGTAAGTATAAATTCAAATATTCTGAAATCTGAAACACTTCTGGTTCCAAGCATTTCAGATAAATGATACTCAACCTATATAATCTTCCCATTTCAAGGTCAGTTAATTATCAACCTTAATCCATCTACAACTCTAATTTATTTTGTCATATAACCTAACATATTCACAGATTCCAGAGATTAGGACATGGACATACTTGTGGGCCATTATTCTGCCTACCACAGGCATGCAGAGCAGGGGAAGCAAAGTCCTAGAGTCCTGGGAGGCACTAGCCCAGGATGGAAAGGAAGGGCCACAGGGTGGAGAACATTCCCTACAGAAGCTCTCAGTTAGGATATTAGCACTGCTGTCCATGCAGTGGAGTCTACAAGAATCCCCTGCCTCTAAGGTGGCTCCATCTCTCCTTTCAGGAAAGAGTATGAAGTGATGAATTTGTCTATACTAAGGGACTTCTCATGTCCTTCCCATAGCATAGGAGCTCCTGGAGAAAGGGTCAACACTTGACATACATAAAGAGATGACTTACCAATGGTAAAATTTCAGATTTTATTTGGAAAGTTACTTGGCTGACTTCTTAAAATACATTATGTATTCATTCCTCAAACCACCTTTGCAATTAGGCTGACCTTATACCGAAACAGAAACAGTCAGATCGTAAGAAGATCACATGTGAGCGAGAATGAGAATGAGGCAGACCACAAAAGACCCAACACACACCCACGCACACATACTCACACACACACACACACACATATGCACAACATTCTTATATTGTTCTTAGACATCAAGAGGGCCTTTTTCACACACAGAAAGTTAAATAGGAAAACAGTAACTTTTCCATTACAATTTGCTGCTGCCACCCCCGTAGGGGTGTCAGTACGGGTCAGTTAATGTCCTGTGACAAGCCAGGGTGATATTCTTTATAGGGTAGTGTTTATCTTCACCATATGTTTTCTAGTATTGACTGAGAGTGTTAATTGGTGTTTCAGGAATCGGGAGAGGGCAGATCAAGGGCATCTACTAGAGGCCTCATCATCTAGTGTCCCCCAACCCTCAATTAGTAGGTTAACACATGTCTAAATGCTCATAATTTGTGCTGATCTACTGCTTAGCCAGCAAATGGGTCCCACTTGGAATATGCTATATATCAGCCTTACAGTTTTTCTGTCTTCTAGTTTACTTAGGAAAAAAAAAGAGAAGTTTTTTTTAATATGATGGCTACAAATAAAAGTGAATGTGATCATACTGAGGTTCCTGAGTAGTTGAAGGTTTCAGGGGCACTAGATGTCCTGGCTTAGTGGCCTCCTCCTAGGAAGATCCCCCACCTTACCATCTTGTCCAAGTTCTCATTTTCCCATTCCTCATCCCGTATTCCCACCTGTCTTCCTGAGCATGGATGATAATCCCTTCCCAAGGTTGTCAAGGCATTTCTTCTCTTACAGATCCACACCAGTTTCACTTCTCTAGGAAGTTTCCAAACTATTTATTTGAATATTCAACCTCTGCTATGGTTTGAGTGTGTCCCCAGAATTCATGTGTTGGAAATTGGGTCCCCGATGTGGCAGTGTTGGGAGGTGGGGCCTCTAAGAGATGATTAGGTCATTAAGACCTAATATCCCTTCCGTTCTCACCCACTTCCCCTTCCACTTCCCTGCCATGTTATAAGGCAGCACAAGACCCTCACCAGAAGAAGACCAGATTCAGCCACCTGATCTTGGACCTCCCAGTTTCCAGAACTGTGAGCTAAATAAGCCTCTTTCCATTATAAACTTTCTAGTCTTCAAGTGTTATAATGACAGAAAACAGAGAGCCAGGCATAGTGACTCACACCTGTAATCCTAGCATTTTCGGAGGCCAAGGAGGGAGGATTGCTTGAGCCCAGGAGTTCGAAATCACCCTGGGCAACATGGCAAAACCTCATCTCTATTAAAAAAAATTAAATAAAAATGTAAAAAGAAAACAGACTAAGATAACCTCACTACAAATAAAGACTTTCAAGTTAAAACTACATGGAAAGATGAAATCTCAAATGGAAAAGATCCTATAACTGATGATGTTCAAAATAATAAGGCTGCTAACAACATGGATAAATAGGTGCTGCAGTTTGAAGTGTTTGCAACAACTTATCTGCAGGGCAATTTGGACACAATTATCAAGAGTCCTTTAAATGTTCATTTGCTTTGACTCAGTAATTCCCCCTTAGGAATTCTTATTAAGGAAATAAAGAGAAGTGTACTCAAAGACTTATGCACACTGTTTTTCATCACTTAAGTTGTTTGAAATTCAAAAAAAGAAATCTTAGAAAAATTTAATTCCAGCAATAGAAGGGTAGTTAAATAAATGAGGCTGTCATTTAAAAATATGTTTTTGAAAAGAACGTAACAAAATAGGACAATGGTGAAAACACAATGTTAAATAAAAGAGCAGGATGCACTCCCATTTCAAATTTGTTTCATATATTGAATTATTAGTATTTTTTCTAATATTTCTTATTACTCCTACTCTTACTCATGTGGTATTAATTACCTCAGTGACCAAATGATGCAGCATAAAGTAGAAAACACAGGAGTCAGTGTTTGACTCCAAATGCCTCATCCCTGACATAGATAAAATAATTGGAAAGATGCACTGACAAGAAAAGCAATGCCTTCCCCCACACATTCTACCCCAAGATGAGGTAAAGATCCTCTTGTATGGGATAAAGTAAGAACTGAAGGGGACATAGAGAAGCAAAAAGCATATATGCATTGTGTGTGTGTGTGTATGTGTGTGTGTTAGGGAGGGTGTGAAATATGATGATACACTGCAAAAACAGAACAAAGATATCCTAGGCCCTTCTTGGACAGAAACCAGGGAAAACAGCAAAGTAATGTAGAGTTCCTAATGCCCAGGAAAGAAATGGCCATGTGCTATGTGTAGGCTGATAAGTCCTTCAACAAACACACACACACACACACACATCACACACACACACGCACACACACACATACACACACACACCTCCCAGCAAAGCAGGGCAGCAGCAAGACAAATTAGTGTGTCCAGGTGTGACACAGAGTGAACAGGCCCTTTGATGCCCTAACGAAATCTCCTGCAATCCAAGATGGCATCACACCTGAACAGCGATGCCCGCATGATAAGAACAAACAGTGCTGACATGATCATAAGAAGGAAATGGCTGAAAGACACAAGCCCTGACAACACCTGTGGTCAGGAATGAGGCAGTCAGGAACAAGGGAAGATTCAGCAGCAGCCTGCATGATATCTCAGTAGTAGTAACACTCAAGGGACCAGGGCTCACCCTCCCTCAGAGCTTTAACATTGCACCAGCCTTCTTCCTTCTTTCACCAAAGACCAGAAAAAGAGTCCCCTCCTGCTTTGCATCAGTCACTGACTCCACTAGAGTCAAGTTTTTAACTTTCGACCCATGTCCAATCATCTATCAAGTCCCTTATCTGGCCAAGTCTGTCTGCTCTCACTGCCCCACTCAGATGCAGCCCTCCTCCAACACAACTGGACTGCTGGGCACAGGTTAAGGCTCTCCTTCCATCTAGGCTCGTGGAACCTCATTGCTCCTCCTCCCATGCTGCAGGCAGAGTCATCCTCCTGAAATACTTATCTCATGGCCCTGCTCAGAAGCCCCCAGCAAGTCCTTAGCCTGGAGCCCAGGCTTCAGCTGGCCCTGAGGTCACATGAGAACCAGAGCTGCCCAATGTGTTCACCTTAACTACCCATTCTCTGCAACAAAAACCCTATTTCCTCTTGCTTGGAACATCTTCCCAATCCAAACTAGCCACTCCCCAAATCCCAAGTCAGTCTCATTGTCTCCACAGTACTTCATCCTTTCAGACCCCACTGCTCTCTCCTTTCTTAGATTCCTATGGCACTTGCTATCTGAACTATTCCCTCAATCTCGTAAATATATGTGGCCTCGCATTTTTTTCATAACTGAAGCCCCTGTAGCTCAACTGTCCAACTAAGTCAAGCTCCCAATGATCAGGAACAGGTCTTATCCTTAAGTTGCCCAATGATGAGGGCACAGTAAATGCTCTTTAATGCATTCATTAAACGTCAACTCCTTCTCAGGTATTTTATTACCAGCTTCATGTAGGGCAGATGGGAAAGTGGGGCAGACTGCAGATAGGGACAATGGGCAGAATGTAGACCCAGGAATCGATTCCCAACAAAGGGGACAGTGCTCACTCCAGGGCATAAAGCTTGCACCACCTCAGTGAAGGAATTCAGCTAAACCCCATATTTAAGACTACATTGGTGAGAGAGATCTAAATGTTCTGACAGTACTAGTACCTCTAATGTGCACTTCACATCTGGGATGGAGAGAAAGGCAAAGTTTTAAAGAAAAGAATATGAGCTCTGGACTTCTTTACCGAAGGAGTTTAAGCACAATTTATCAAATGATGGTGCAAAGCAGAGATTACAGAACACATGTGTGTGTGTGTATGTGTGTGTACCTACACACATACTTATAGCCAAGAGAGCTAAGAGCTGACCCATCACAGTTTTTAAGAAATGTTTAATAGAGGCGTCTTCAAGCCCCGGGCCATGAACCAGTACCATTAGGAACTGGCCCGCACAACAGGAGGTGAGCAGCAAGTGAGCGAAGCTTCATCTGTATTTACAGCTGTTCCTCATTGCTCACATTACTGCCTGAGCTCTGCCTCCTATCAGATCAGCACCCGCCTGAGATTCCCATGGGGCGCAAACCCTATCGTGAACTGCACATGCAAGGAATCTAGGTTGTGCACTCCTTATGACAATCTAATGCCTGATGATCTGTCACTGTCTCCCATCACCCCAGATGGGACCGTCTAGTTTCAGGAAGACAAGCTCAGGGCTCCCACTGATTCTACATTATGGTGAGTTGTATAATTTTTTCATTATATATTACAATGTAATAATAGCAATAGAAATAAAGTGCACAATAAATATAATGTGCTTGAATCATCCCAAAACCATCATCTTACCCTGGTGGAAAAATTTTCTTCCATGAAACTGGTCCCTGGTACCAAAAAGGTTGGGGACTGCTGGTTTAATAAATATATGTTTAGACCAAGAAAGAAAAAGCACACCCACCATATCAGAAAAAAAATAGATAAGAAACAACAGGAAATTCACACACACACTCAAAAGTTCAATAAACATAGAAAAAAATTCTGCCTCATTAGTAATCAATCAAAAGTCTTTTTTTCTTCCTAACTTCTTTCCTTTGACCTATGAGTATTATAAATGAGAATTTCAACAAATTCAATTAAAGTTTGCTTTAGGTCTATTACATGTCAGACATTGGGTAACGATGGAAAACCATCAACAGGTTCAAGCAAGGGGGTGGGTGTGATATGATCACCTCTATCAATTTTATTCTATTTTATTATGCTATTCTAATTACCCACTAGAATGATGAGGACAGTGGCAGTGGAGGTGACAACACTTGTTTCAAGCTCAAATCATTCTCTTCTTTTTTCTAGCCTATCTTCTCATTCTCTAATTTAAATTCACTACAGTTACCAATATTACAAGTACTGCAGAAGGGTTGTTTTTATGAAAGGCTAAAAAAATTTCACGAAAACTGTTTCTGGCTTTTACTTTTTATCAAAGTGTTAAATTCTAAAACTTGGGAGTCGTGTACAAATGTACTCATATTCAGAAGTGAAAATGAGCCATTTATTTTTGCTGCCTGAGTTAAGTGAACCAGAGAGCAGTAGACTAATACTCGCCAGATAAAAATTCAATTCACTTAAAAGAATCATTTTTTATTTAATCATATAGCATGATTGTAAATCACTTTGCCCATATCTAGTACTGCATGACCGATATATAATAATAATAATAATAACAATAATAATAATAGCATTGGTGGTCATCCAATTCACGGTAAGTTGCTATTTGGTACAGAAATGAAGATAAAGACATCTAGGGCAGGAGTCTGATCTCGGATCTCCAACTACAAAGATGTTCTATCCTATCTACTTCAAATGTATTCTGTTTTACTTGGTTTTGCTTTCTTTCTCTTTTCTCAAGTAAAAAAAAAATGCTAGGTGTTATTTTATGAGAAGCCCTAGGTCTTCTCATAAGGAATAATGACCAGAAGTTCATCTCTTGAGAGCGCCTGTTCACCTTAAATGCTTTCCCCAGTTGTTGGAGAGCATGACTGGAATCAAAGGCCAGATTGAGATCTGTGGTGATGGGCTCTCAGCTTCCACTACTTATAAAGGAAAAATGTTAACATCAGAAGGTGGGATTTGGCTCTGAAATAACAAGATATTCTGTTAAAGATGTACATTTTTGTGCCCTGGCTGTAAATGAATCCAGGTCTGTTGTTTTTGCTTGGAAAGGGTATTTGGATAAATAGAATAATGCAACACATTGAATCAACTCAGCTGAGAAATATTCTGGAAAGGGGCTCAAGCCTCAGTTTACGTAACTGAAGAGAAACTAGGAGCACTCTACAGTTCTCTCCACATGGACAGCACACAAAAGGTCAATTCAGGAAAAGTCCAAATCAGTTAATCCAATTACTTGGCATCACTGAAGCATAACCTTAGTGTTCAAAGGTAGATGCATTCCAGGACACTGAATTGACTGGAAGCCTGCCATGGTTGGCTACTTTTCAGCAGGTGAAGCTTTAGAAACTCCATTTTACCTTTCAAAATTGCTTTTTGGTAGACTACACATTGGGTACAGTGTACACAGCTCAGGTGATGGGTGTATCAAAATCTCAGAAATCACCACTAAATAACCTATTTATGTACAAAAATAAATAAATAAGAAAAAAATGCTTTTTGGCACTCCTGTTCCAAAGGGCATTCACTCCCACTCCAACATTCTGTTCCATTTCACCTGCTGTTGTTTGAGTCCTTACCAGGTGGCAGGCACTGTGCTAGACACAGTAGAGGCAAATAGGATGTAAGGGCTGACTTTATGGAGCTCAGTAAGAAGAGGTACGGTTTTATTACTAAGGGCCAACTTGCAGTCTAACATTGTTTATAATTATTTTGTTAGAGGGGGAGAAAAAACACCTAAATCTTCCCCAAATTATCTTTTTGATCGGCCAATGAAAACATTTTATAACTGAGAGCATTGATCAAGATCCCTGTAGGAAACTTTCACTTCTAGTAAAGATAGGACTCAAGGTATTTCCAAGTGAGGAGAGAGATATTATGGAAATGGCAAAATTACCATGAGAATAGCTATTAGAAGAATGTTAAAGGACCTTATGACAGAGGCCCCATCAGCCTCAGGTGCCTATTTGCCAGACTATAAAGTCATTTTCAGCCATTCACACCATCTGATAGGGAGAAACTTCCAGAACCCACTGTAGGATCTTAGGAGAAGGCCTCTACTCAAACACATCCATGTTTTGTGCCTTTTTGAGTTGCAAGAATTGCAGTATCAAACTTTCCCTCCCATGGACCCTCATTCATGAAAATAAAATCATGGGAAAAATGACACATCCTTCCAAGAAAACCTAGGAGAGACCAACACACAAAGATAATAAATGTTTAACACACACTGTGATTCCTGCACGTCTTTCTCTGGGTTTCAACAACACCTTCCACATCCCTGCTTCTAGCACTTGCCATATCAATCTGTAGTCATTTATGTATACATTTGTCTCCACCTTCTAGAGTGTGAGCTCCCCTGGGGCAGAAGCTACACCAAATTCATGTTTGTGAATGCCCCAGAATGGCCAGATGAGCTGATGCATAAGTGGGTTTTTCCCAGCCCTAGCACTATACTTCTGGAAGACCCATACACAGAAAGAGATGCTGCAGCCCTTTCCCCAGGAAGAACCTCAAGAAGGGATATGATCCTACAGACCCTTAGCCAGAGAGGAACATGAAATAGAAGAGATGACCTGTCCTGAGACAATCCTGTCACGAAGACCAGACACAAAATTTGCAGAGCCTAGTGCAAAATAAAAATTCAGTATCATTTGTTCAAAAATTATTAAGAATTTTGTGTCTTAGTCCATTTCATGCTGCTGCAACACAATACCCAAGAGTGTATAATTTTTAATAAGCAAAAATTCATTGGCTCACAGTTCCAGAGGCTAGGAAGTCCAATGTCAAGGTGTTGGCACCTTTTGAGGGCCTTCTTGCTGCATCATCACATGGCAGAAGGGAAGAAAGAGAGCAAGCAAGAAAGACAAAGAGAGAGAGATTGAGAAAATAAAGAGATAGTTTGCAAGAGGGAAAGAGGGCCAACCCCTCCCTTCTATAAAGGCATCAATCCTACTCATGAGAGCTCTGCCCTCATGGCCTAAACACCTCTTAAATGTCCAACCTCTTAATACTGTTAAAATGGCAATTAAATTTCAACATGGCTTTTTGGAAAAGACAAACATTCAAACAACAGCAAATTTCAAGAATTGACAGCAGAAACCAAATGCAGAGCCCTTCTGAATATGGAGCCCCGTGCAACTACACAGGTCAAATGCCCATAAAACCAGCCCTGCTTGTCACTTTCTTTGCTTCACCCACACATTGCCATCCAGTTGCACCACTGCTTATGCCTGATCAATTCTGCCTCCAAAGTTTTTGGCTAAAAAGAGAAAATGAAGCTAATATTTATGATATTTTTGTGACCTAGACAAAATTGTAGCAATAGAACTGTGTTGCCCTCAAGTTCTTGGAGAATCATATTTGGGCAGCAACAAAACAATAGATACTATTTGCTACTAGATGGCAAGCAATATGCAAAGCATTGGCTGATTTCATCCTTGGAATGGCCCTATAAGATACGCTCTATTAGGGTCTCCATTTCACAGAAAAAGAAACAGACTTTAAAAAGTTAAGTAATTTTATTTATTTTTTTTTTTATTTTACTTTAAGTTCTAGGATACATGTGCAGAACGTGCAAGTTTGTTACACAGGTATACGTGTGCCATGGTGGTTTGCTGCACCTATTGAACCATCCTCTAAATTCCCTCCCCTTGCCCTGCACCCCTCAACAGGCCCTGGTGTGTGTTGTTCCCCTCCCTGTGTCCATGTGTTCTCATTGTTCAGTTCCCACCTATGAGTTAGAACATGAGGTGTTTGGTTTTCTATTTCTACGTTAGTTTGCTGAGGATGATAACTTTCAGCTTCATCCATGTCCCTGCAAAGGACATAATCTCATTCAATCTTATGGCTGCATAGTATTCCATGGTATATATGTATGTACCACATTTTCTTTATCCAGTCTATCATTGATGGGCATTTAGGTTGGTTCCATGTCTTTGCTATTGTAGATAGTGCTACAATAAACATATATGTGCATGTGTCTTTATAGTAGAATAATTTATATTCCCTTGGGTATATACTCAGTAATGGGATTGCTGGATCAAATGATACTTCTGGTTCTAGATCCCTGAGGAATCACCATATTGTCTTCCACAATGGTTGAACTAATTTACACTCCTACAAACAGTGTAAAAGCATTCCCATTTCTCCACAGCCTCACCAGCATCTATTGTTTCTTGACTTTTTAATAATCGCCATTCTGACTGGCATAAGATGGTATCTCATTGTGGTTTTGATTTGTATTTCTCTAACGATCAGTGATGTTGAGCTTTTTTTCATGTTTGTTGGCTGCATAAATGTCTTACTTTGAGAAGTGTCTGTTCATATCCTTTGCCCACTTTTTGATGGGGTCATTTGTTTTTTTCTTGTAAATTTGTTTAAGTTCCTTGTAAATTCTGGGTATTAGACCTTTGTCAGGTGGGTAGATTGCAAAAATTTTCTCCCATTCTGTAGGTTACCTGTTCACTCTGATGATGGTTTCTTTTGCTGTGCAGAAGCTCTTTAGTTTAATTAGATCCCATTTGTCAATCTTGGCTTTTGTTGCAATTGCTTTTGGTGTTTTCATCATTAAGTCTTTGCCGATGCTTTTGTCCTGAATGGTATTACCTAGATTTGATTCTAGGGTTTTTATGGTTTGGGGTTTCACATTTAAGTCTTTAATCCATCTTGAGTTAATTTTCATATAAGGGGTAAGGAAGGGGTACAGTTTCAGTTTTCTGCATGTGCCTAGCCAGTTTTCCCAGCACCATTTATTGAATAGAAGATCCTTTACCCATTGCTTGTTTTTGTCTGGCTTGTCAAAGATTAGATGGTTGTAGATGTGTGGTGTTATTTCTGAGGTCTCTGTCTGTTTTGGTATCAGTACCATGCTGTTTTGGTTACTGTAGCCTTGTAGTATAGTTTGAAGTCAGGTAGCATGATGTCTCCAGCTTTGTTCTTTTTGCTTAGGATTGTCTTGGATATACAGGGTCTTCTTTGATTCCATATGAAATTTAAAGTAGTTTTTCTTAATGCTGTGAAGAATGTCAATGGTAGTTTGATGGTAATAGCATTGAATCTATAAATTACTTTGGGCAGTATGGCCATTTTCACAATACTGATTCTTCCTATCCATGAGGATAGTATGTTTTTCCATTTGTTTGTGTCCTCTCTTATTTCCTTGAGCAGTGGTTTGTAATTCTCCTTGAAGAGTTTCTTTACATCCCTTGTTGTATTCCTAGGTATTTTATTCTCTTTGTAGCAACCGTGAATGGGAGTTCACTCATGATTTGGCTCTCTGTTTGTCTATTATTTTTGTATAGGAATGCTTGTGATTTTTGCACATTGATTTTGTAGCCTGAGATTTTGCTGAACTTGTTTATCAGCTTAAGGAGTTTTGGGGCTGAGACAATGGGGTTTTCTAAATATACGATCATGTCATCCGCAAACAGAGACAACTGGACTTCCTCTCTTCCTATTTGAATACTCTTTATTTCTCTCTCTTGCCTGATTTTCCTGGCCAGAACTTCCAATACTATGTTAAATAGGAGTGGTGAGAGAGGGCATCCTCGTCTTGTGCCAGTTTTCAAAGGGAATGCTTCCATCTTTTGCCCATTCAGTATGATATTGGCTGTGGTTTGTCATAAACAGCTTTTATTATTTTGAGATATGTTCCATCAATACCTAGTTTATTGAGTGTTTTTAGCATGAAGGGTGTTGAATTTTATCAAAGGCCTTTTCTGCATCTATTGAGATAATCATGTGGTTTTTGTCATTGGTTCTGTTTATGTGATGGATTACATTTATTGATTTGCATATGTTGAACCAGCCTTGTATCCCAGGGATGAAGCCCACTTGATCATGGTGGATAAGCTTTTAAATGTGATGCTGGATGTGGTTTCCCAGTATTTTATTGAGGATTTTTGCATAGATGTTCATCAGGGATATTGGCCTGAAATTTTTTTTGTTGTGCCTCTGCCAGGTTTTGGTATCAGGATGATGCTGGCTTCAGAAAATGAGTTAGGGAGGAATCCCTCATTTTCAATTGTTTGGAATAGTTTCAGAAGGAATGGTACCAGCTCTTCTTTGTACCTCTGGTAGAAATCAGCTGTGAATCTGTCTGGTCCTGGGCTTTTTTCGGTTGGTAGGCTATTACTGCCTCAATTTCAGAACTTGTTGTTGGTCTATTCAGGCATTTGACTTCTTCCTGGTTTAGTCTTGGGAAGGTGTATGTGTCCAGGAATTTATCCATTTCTTCTGGATTTTCTAGCTTATTTCTCTGATAGTAGTTTGTATTTCTGTGGGGTCAGTGGTGATATCCCCTTTATCATTTTTTATTGTGTCTATTTGATACTTCTCTCTTTTCTTCTTTATTAGTCTAGCTAGCAGTCTATCTATTTTGTTAATTTTTTCAAAAAAGCAGCTCCTGAATTCATTGATTTTTTGGAGGGGTTTTTGTGTCTCTATCTCCTTCAATTCTGCTCTGATCTTAGTTATTTCTTGTCTTTTGCTAGCTTTTGGATTAGTTTGCTGTTGCTTCTCTAGCTCTTTTAATTGTGATGTTAGGGTGTTGATTTGAGATCTTTCTAGCTTTCTGATGTGGGCATTTAATGTTATAAATTTTCCTCTTAACATTGCTTTAGCTGTGTCCCAGAGATTCTGGTACATTATCCTTTGTTCTCATTGGTTTCAAAGAACTTGTTGATCTCTGCCTTAATTTTATTATTTGACCAGGAGTCATTCAGGAGCAGGTTGTTCAATTTCCATGTAATTGTGTGGTTTTGGGTGAGTTTCTTAATCCTGAGTTCTAATTTGGTTGCACTGTCATCTGAGAGACTTTGTTATGATTTCAGTTCTTTTGCATTTGCTGAGGAATGTTTTACTTCCAATTATGTGGCTGATTTAAGAATAAATGTTGTGTGGCACTGAGAAGAATGTATATTCTGTTGATTTAGGGTGGAGAGTTCTGTAGATGTCTATTAGGTCCACTTGATTCAGAGCTGAGTTCAAGTCCTGAAAAACATTGTTAATTTTCTGTCTCATTGATCTGTCTAATATTTACAGTGGGGTGTTAAACTCTCCCATGATTATTGTGTGGGAGTCTAAATCTCTTTGTAGGTCTTTAAGAACTTGTTTTATGAATCTGGATGCTCCTGTATTGGGTCCATATCTATTTAGGATAGTTAGCTCTTCTTGTTGCATTGATCCCTTTACCATTATGTAATGCCCTTCTTTTGTTGTTGTTGTTGTTTATCTTTGCTGGTTTAAAGTCTCTGTTCTGTGTTGGCAGAGACTAGGATTGCAATCCTGCTTTTTTTTTTTCTTTCCATTTGCTTGGTAAATATTCCCCCATCCCTTTATTTTGAGTCTATGTGTGTCTTTGCATGTGAGATGGGTCTCCTGAATATAGCACATGGATGGGTCTTGACTCTTTACCCAATTTGCCAGTTTGTGTCTTTTAACTGGGGCATTTAGCCCATTTATATTTAAGGTTAGTATTGTATGTGTGAATTTGATCATCATAATGCTATCTGGTCATTTTGCACATTAGTTGATGCAGTTTCTTCGTAGTGTCATTGGTCTTTATATTTTGGTGTGTTTTTGCAGTGGCTTGTACCAGTTTTTGCTTTCCATATTCAGTGCTTTCTTCGGGAGCTCTTGCAAGGTAGGCCTGGTGGTGATGAAATCCCTCAGCATTTGCTTGTCTGGAAAGGATTTTATTTCTTCTTCACTTATGAAGCTTAGTTTGGCTGAATATGAAATTCTGGGTTGAAAATTCTTTCCTTTAAGAATGTTTAATATTGGCTTCCAATCTCTTCTGGCTTGTAGGGTTTCTGCTGAGAGGTCTGCTGTTAGTCTGATGGGCTTCCCTTTGTAGGTGACCTGGCCTTTCTCTCTGGCCAGGTCACCTATATTTTTTCCTTCATTTCAACCTTGGAGAATCGGATGGTTATGTGTCTTGGGGTTGATCTTCTTGTGGAGTATCTTAGTGCTATTGTCTGTATTTCCTGAATTTGCATGTTGGCCTGTCTTGCTAGGTTGGGGAAGTTCTCCCGAATAATATCCTTAAGTATGTTTTCCAGCTTGTTTCCATTCTCCCCATCACCTTCAGGTACTACAGTCAATTGTAAGTTTGGCCTTTTTAGGTAGTCCCATATTTCTCAGAGGCTTTGTTCATTCCTTGTCATTCTTTTTTCTCTAATCTTGTCTGCATGCCTTATTTCAGCAAGGTGGTCTTCAAACTCTGACATCTTTTCTTCCGCTTGGTTAATTTGGCTACTAATACTTGTGTATGTTTCACGAAGTTCATGTGCTGTGTTTTTCAGATTCACCACGTCATTTATGTTTCTCTCTAAATTGGTTATTCTAGTTAGCAGCTTCTCTAACCTTTTATCAAGGTTCTTAGCTTCTTTGCATTGGGTGTGAGCATGCTCCTTTAGCTCAGCAGAGTTTTTAATTACCCATCTTCTGAAGCCTACTTCTGTCAATTTGTCCATCTCATCCTCCGTCCAGTTCTGTGCCCTTGCTGCAGAGGCATTGCAATCATTTGGAAGAGAAGAGGCACTTTTGCTTTTTGGGTTTTCAGTGTTTTTTTCATTGATTCTCATCTCCATCAGTTTGTCTGGTTTCTTCTTTGAGGCTGCTGACACTTGAATGGGGTTTTTGTAGGGACTTTGTTGTTGTTTTTGTTGTTGTTGTTTTGTTTGTTTCCTCTTGTTGTTGTTGCTTTCTGTTTGTTTTTCTTTCAATGGTCAGGCCCTTCTTCTGTAGGGCTGCTGCGGTTTGTTGAGGGTTCATTTCAGGCCCTATTCGTCTGGTTTGCCCCAATGCCTGGAGATGCAACTCAAGGAGGCTGGGGAACAGCAAAAATGGGTGTCTGCTCCTTCTTCTGGGATCTCTGACCTTGAGGGACATCAACTTGTTGCCAGTAGGATTGCTCCTATATAAGGTGTCTGACAAAAAGGTTAAGTAACTTTCTAAGGGTTATATAGGAAGTTGCCAGTAAGACTCATATGTAGGTCCTTCTGGAAACAAAGTTCAGGCTTAATGTACTTACTACCCCTCAGCAACCCATCTGCAATGAAGTGCTCCAGTCAGCCATTCAAGTGTGGGAAAGAATTCACCTAGAGAGTTTCTTCCACTGCATACAAAACTCTTTCTTACTTGTTCCTTGTCAAAATACCAATCATAATTGAAACCCCAATAAAGACATCACCTCCTCCAGGAGACTTCCTGCATATCCTCCTTGCCATGTTGATTAACCCATTTCTTCTCTGCTCCGTTCACATTTTCTATTTACCCCTATTATTGTAGCACTAATCCCTCAAGTGAACTTTGCTCACATGCTTTTCCTGCTCAACAGCGAGTCCCTTGAGGGTAAAAAAAATGTATCTTCTTGGGAGGAGGAGCCAAGATGGCCGAATAGGAACAGCTCCGGTCTACAGCTCCCAGTGTGAGCGACGCAGAAGATGGGTGATTTCTACATTTCCATCTGAGGTACCGGGTTCATCTCACTAGGGAGTGCCAGACAGTGGGCGCAGGACAGTGGGTGCAGCACACCATGTGCGAGCTGAAGCAGGGCGAGGCATTGCCTCACTTGGGAAGTGCAAGGGGTCAGGGAGTTCCCTTTCCTGGTCAAGGAAAGGGGTGACAGACGGCACCTGGAAAATCGGGTCACTCCCACCCGAATACTGCGCTTTTCCAATGGGCTTAGGAAACAGCACACCAGGAGATTATATCCTGCACATGGCTCAGAGGGTCCTACGCCCACGGAGTCTCGCTGATTGCTAGCACAGCAATCTGAGATCAAACTGCAAGGCCGCAGCCAGGCTGGGGGAGGGGCACCCGCCATTGCCCAGGCTTGCTTAGATAAACAAAGCAGCCTGGAAGCTCGAACTGGGTGGAGCCCACCACAGCTCAAGGAGGCCTGCCTGCCTCTGTAGGCTCCACCTCTGGGGGCAGGGCACAGACAAACAAAAAGACAACAGTAACCTCTGCAGACTTAAATGTCCCTGTCTGACAGCTTTGAAGAGAGCAGTGGTTCTCCCAGCACGCAGCTGGAGATCTGAGAATGGGCAGACTGCCTCCTCAAGTGGGTCCCTGACCCCTGACCCCCAAGCAGCCTAACTGGGAGGCACCTCCCAGTAGGGGCAGACTGACACCTCACATGGCCGGGTACTCCTCTGAGACAAAACTTCCAGAGGAACAATCAGACAGCAGCATTCGTGGTTCATGAAAATCCACTGTTCTGCAGACACCGCTGCTGATACCCAGGCAAACAGGGTCTGGAGTGGACCTCTAGCAAACTGCAACAGACCTGCAGCTGAGGTTCCTGTCTGTTAGAAGGAAAACTAACAAACAGAAAGGACATCCACACCAAAAACCCATTTGTACATCACCATCATCAAAGACCAAAAGTAGATAAAACCACAAAGATGGGGAAAAAACAGAGCAGAAAAACTGGAAACTCTAAAAAGCAGAGCGCCTCTCCTCCTCCAAAGGAATGTAGTTCCTCACCAGCAATGGAACAAAGCTGGACAGAGAATGACTTTGACAAGTTGAGAGAAGAAGACTTCAGACAATCAAACTACTCTGAGCTACAGGAGGAAATTAAAACCAAACGCAAAGAAGTTGAAAACTTTGAAAAAAATTTAGGTGAATGTATAACTAGAATAACCAATACAGAGAAGTGCTTAAAGGACCTGATGGGGCTGAAAGCCAAGGCTCGAGAACTACGTGAAGAATGCAGAAGCCTCAGGAGCCAATGCGATCAACTGGAAGAAAGGTTATCAGTGATGGAAGATGAAATGAATGAAATGAAGTGAGAAGGGAAGTTTAAAGAAAAAAGAATAAAAAGAAACGAACAAAGTCTCCAAAAAATATGGGACTATGTGAAAAGACCAAATCTACGTCTGATTGGTGTACTGGAAAGTGACAGGGAGAATGGAACCAAGTTGGAAAACACTCTGCAGGATATTATCCAGGAGAACTTCCCCAATCTAGCAAGGCAAGCCAACATTCAGATTCAGGAAATACAGAGAATGCCACAAAGATACTCCTCAAGAAGAGCAACTCCAAGACACATAATTGTCAGATTCACCAAAGTTGAAACGAAGGAAAAAATGTTAAGGGCAGCCAGAGAGAAAGGTCGGGTTACCCTCAAAGGGAAGCCCATCAGACTAACAGCGGATCTCTCGGCAAAAACTCTACAAGCCAGAAGAGAGTGGGGGCCAATATTCAACATTCTTAAAGAAAAGAATTTTCAACCCAGAATTTCATATCCAGCCAAACTAAGCTTCATAAGGGAAGGAGAAAAAAAATACTTTACAGACAAGCAAATGCTGAGAGACTTTGTCACCACCAGGCCTGCCCTACAAGAGCTCCTGAAGGAAGCACTAAACATGGAAAGGAACAACCGGTACCAGCCACTGCAAAATCATGCCAAAATGTAAAGACCACTGAGACTAGGAAGAAACTGCATGAACTAACCAGCAAAATAACCAGCTAACATCATAATGACAGGATCAAATTCACACATAACAATATTAACTTTAAATGTAAATGGACTAAATGCTCCAATTAAAAGACACAGACTGGCAAATTGGATAAAGAGTCAAGACCCATCAGTGTGCTGTATTCAGGAAACCCATCTCATGTGCAGAGACACACATAGGCTCAAAATAAAAGGATGGAGGAAGATCTACCAAGCAAATGGAAAACAAAAAAAGGCAGGGGTTGCAATCCTAGTCTCTGATAAAACAGACTCTAAACCAACAAAGATCAAAAGAGACAAAGAAGGCCATTACATAATGGTAAAGGGATCAATTCAACAAGAAGAGATAAGTATCCTAAATATATATGCACCCAATACAGGAGCACCCAGATGCATAAAGCAAGTCCTGAGTGACCTACAAAGAGACTTAGACTCCGATACAATAATAATGGGAGACTTTAACACCCCACTGTCAACATCAGACAGATCAACGAGACAGAAAGCTAACAAGGATACCCAGGAATTGAACCCAGCTCTGCACCAAGCGGATCTAATAGACATCTACAGAACTCTCCACCCCTAATCAACAGAATATACATTTTTTTCAGCACCACACCACACCTATTCCAAAATTGACCACATAGTTGGAAGTAAAGTACTCCTCAGCAAATGTAAAAGAACAGAAATTACAACAAACTGTCTCTCAGACCACAGTGCAATCAAACTAGAACTCAGGATTAAGAAACTCACTCAAAACCGCTCAACTACATGGAAACTGAACAACCTGCTCCTGAATGACTACTGGGGTACATAACGAAATGAAGGCAGAAATAAAGATGTTCTTTGAAACCAACGAGAACAAAGACACAACATACCAGAATCTCTGGGACACATTCAAAGCAGTGTGTAGAGGGAAATTTATAGCACTAAATGCCCACAAGAGAAAGGAGGAAAGATCCAAAATTGACACCCTAACATCACAATTAAAAGAACTAGAAGAGCAAGAGCTAACACATTCAAAAGCTAGCAGAAGGCAAGAAATAACTAAGATCAGAGCAGAACTGAAGGAAACAGAGACATAAAAACCCTTCAAAAAATTAATGAATCCAGGAGCTGGTTTTTTGAAAGGATCAACAAAATTGATAGACCACTAGCAAGACTAATAAAGAAGAAAAGAGAGAAGAATCAAATAGACGCAATAAAAAATGATAAAGGGTATATCACCACCGATCCCACAGAAATACAAACTATCATCAGAGAATACTACAAACACCTCTACACAAATAAACTAGAAAATCTAGAAGAAATGTATAAATTCCTCGACACATACACTCTCCCAAGACTAAACCAGGAAGAAGTTGAATCTCTGAATAGACCAATAACAGGATCTGAAATTGTGGCAATAATCAACAGCTTACCAACCAAAAAGAGTCCAGGACCAGATGGATTCACAGCCGAATTCTACCAGAGGTACAAGGAGGAACTGGTACCATTCCTTCTGAAACTATTCCAATCAATAGAAAAAGAGGGAATCCTCCCTAACTCATTTTATGAGGCCAGCATCATCCTGATACCAAAGCCGGGCAGAGACACAATAAAAAAAGAGAATTTTAGACCAATATCCTTGATGAACACTGATGCAAAAATCCTCAATAAAATACTGGCAAACCAAATCCAGCAGCACATCAAAAAGCTTATCCACCATGATCAAGTGGGCTTCATCCCTGGGATGCAAGGCTGGTTCAATATACGCAAATCAATAAATGTAATCCAGCATATAAACATAACCAAAGACAAAAACCACATGATTATCTCAATAGATTCAGAAAAGGCCATTGACAAAATTCAACAATGCTTCATGCTAGAAACTCTCAATAAATTAGGTATTGATGGGACATATCTCAAAATAATAAGAGCTATCTATGACAAACCCACAGCCAATATCATACTGAATGGGCAAAAACTGGAAGCATTCCCTTTGAAAACTGGCACAAGACAGGGATGCCCTCTCTCACCACTCCTATTCAACATAGTGTTGGAAGTTCTGGCCAGGGCAATTAGGCAGGAGAAGGAAATAAAGAGTATTCAATTAGGAAAAGAGGAAGTCAAATTGTCCCTGTTTGCACACAACATGATTGTATATCTAGAAAACCCCATTGTCTCAGCCCAAAATCTCCTTAAGCTGATAAGCAACTTCAGCAGAGTCTCAGGATACAAAACCAATGCACAAAAATCATAAGCATTCTTATACACCAATAACAGACAAACAGAGAGCCAAATCATGAGTGAACTCTCATTCACAATTGCTTCAAAGAGAATAAAATACCTAGGAATCCAACTTACAAGGGACGTGAAAGACCTCTTCAAGGAGAACTACAAACCACTGCTCAATGAAATAAAAGAGGATACAAACAAATGGAAGAACATTCCATGCTCATGTGTAGGAACAATCAATATCGTGAAAATGGCCACACTGCCCAAGGTAATTTATAGATTCAATGCCATCCCAATAAAGCTACCAACGACTTTCTTCACAGAATTGGAAAAAACTACTTTAAAATTCATATGAAACCAAAAAAGATCCCACATCGCCAAGTCAGTCCTAAGCCAAAAGAACAAAGCTGGAGGCATCACGCTACCTGACTTCAAACTATACTACAAGGCTACAGTAACCAAAACAGCATGGTACTGGTACCAAAACAGAGATATAGATCAATGGAACAGAACAGAGCCCTCAGAAATAACGCCACATATCTACAACTATCTGATCTTTGACAAACCTGAGAAAAACAAGCAATGGGGAAAGGATTCCCTATTTAATAAATGGTGCTGGGAAAACTGGCTAGCCATATGTAGAAAGCTGAAACTGGATCCCTTCCTTACACCTTATACAAAAATTAATTCAAGATGGATTAAAGACTTAAATGTTAGACCCAAAACCATAAGAACTCTAGAAGAAAACCTAGGCATTACCATTCAGGACACAGGCATGGGCAAGAACTTCATGTCTAAAACACCAAAAGCAATGGCAACAAAAGATAAAATTGACAAATGGGATCTAATTAAACTAAAGAGCTTCTGCACAGCAAAAGAAACTACCATCAGAGTGAACAGGCAACCTACAAAATGGGAGAAAATTTTCGCAACCTACTCATCTGACAAAGGGCTAATATCCAGAATCTAAAACGAACTCAAACAAATTTACAAGAAAAAAACAAACAACCCCATCAAAAAGTGGGCAAAGGATATGAACAGACACTTCTCAAAAGAAGACATTTATGCAGCCAAAAGACACATGAAAAAATGCTCATCATCACTGGCCATCAGAGAAATGCAAATCACAACCACAGTGAGATACCATCTCACACCAGTTAAAATGGCAATCATTAAAAGTCAGGAAACAACAGGTGCTGGAGAGGATGTGGAGAAATAGGAACACTTTTACACTGTTGGTGGGACTGTAAACTAGTTCAATCATTGTGGAAGTCAGTGTGGCGATTCCTCAGGGATCTAGAACTAGAAATACCATTTGACCCAGCCATCCCATTACTGGGTATACACCCAAAGGACTGTAAATCATGCTGCTATAAAGACACATGCACACGTATGTTTATTGTGGCACTATTCACAATAGCAAAGACTTGGAACCAACCCAAATGTCCAACAATGATAGACTGGATTAAGAAAATGTAGCACATATACACCATGGAATACTATGCAGCCATAAAAAATGATGAGTTCATGTCCTTTGTAGGGACATGGATGAAATTGGAAATCATCATTCTCAGTAACTATCGCAAGGACAAAAAACCAAACACCGCATGTTCTCACTCATAGATGGGAATTGAACAATGAGAACACATGGACACAGGAAGGGGAACATCACACTCTGGGGACTGTTGTGGGGTAGGGGGAGCAGGGAGGGATAGCATTAGGAGATATACCAAATGCTAAATGACGAGTTAATGGGGGCAGCACACCAGCATGGCACATGTATACATATGTAACTAACCTGCACATTGTGCACATGTACCCTAAAACTTAAAGTATAATAATGATAATTTAAAAAAATGTATCTTCTTGATTTATCTTCTCAACTATTGATACAATACCTGACTCATAATAGGTACTCAATAAATACAAATTGGATTTAATTCAGTGGAATGAAATAGAATAGAATGGAATGATATGCCTTGTATTTATCTTCTTATCTAGGGCTTCCAGAAAGTTTTGAGGTAAAAAGAGGTCTAGGGAACATGGTTTGCAAAAATTTATGGTTCTGTGACTATGGCTCTCCCAGCTGTTCAGAAATGGAAATTTAATTTGTCTTTGGAAAGTAGATCCCTCTCTGCACCTTCTCCGTCCTTTCTGAGTGGCAATACAGGTTAAGCAAAACATTCTAGGAAAGAGTAGAATAGACTCAATGACTTTTTCACAATCTTTTTATCTTCTGAGTATAAATATTCATTTTAATCCTTAAAAACAATCATTTTAGGATGTTTTGGGCCTAATGGTTGCTTTTAAAGGGAAATCCCTTCTTATAGCAACCCTGTGGGGTTTACAGCTAAGGGAGACCTGGGTCAGCATGACTCCCTGCCCTGAACTCCCTCAGTTCTTCCCTCTTACTAATTCAATCTCAGAATCAGTGTCATTCTGAGCCCTCTTCAGCCAGCATTGGTTTGCTCTGGGTAGCACATTGGTACATTTTTGTTTGCACTGTAATTAAATCTCATCTGTTAAAGTGTCAGTGACCCATCTTGGCAGCTAAAAGGTAATATGTGAAAGTTAATTTCCTAAGGTCCTAGAGCACAAAACACTGACAATGTACAGGGGATACACTTTTGAACTCATTTCAAAAGAAGTATGTTTGAACTGGACTATTCTGAGAGAGCAGAGGGGGAAAAAAAGACTGTCTTTGATCAATGAGAAAATGTTCATAAAAATCAAGATGAGCCAACTCATTAAGTCTATTTGTCTTGACTTAAGTAGTTTATGCTGTCACATTCTTTGGAAGTATGTGAAGCTAATGGGGAGATTATTCATATAGGAGGAAGTGTTTAATAAGCCAGTTTGGACTAAGGAATCCCAGAACTAGATGCACTCTAAGAGATCTGCAGTCATTAGCCCAGTTCTCCACTACCATATTAGTTTCCTGTTGCTGCTTGTGGTAACAAACTACAACAAACTTGGCAGCTTAAAACAATACAAATTTATTATTTTACAGCCCTGCAGGTCAGAAGCCCACCACAGGTCTCACTGGGCTAAAACCAGGGTGTTGGCAGGGCTGCATTCCTTTCTGGAGGCTGTAGGAGAGAATCCATTTCCTTGCCTTTTCCAGCTTCAAGGGGACACCACCTTCCTTGGCTTCTTGCCCCTTCTTCCACCCTCAAAACCAGCAATGTTGCATCTCTCCAGCCATTTTTGTGTAGTCACATGTCCCTCTGACCCAAGCCTGGAAAGATTCTCTGTTCCTGAGAACCCACATGATTGAACTGGACTCATGTGGATAATCAAAGCTAATGTCACATCTCAGGGTCCTTAACTTTATCATATCTGTAAGGTCTAGTTTTCCATGTAAGGTAAACATATTCACAGGTTCTTGGGATTAGAATATGGACATTTTGGGGGCCATTTTTCCACCTGCCCTAACTACCTAAGGAAAGGTGCTCCAAAAATGTGATTATAGGATGGGTATCCTCATCATAACTCTACTTCAGGGCCTTATTCACATAAATACTTTTTTTCATCATCTAACCTAAATCTCCTACTACTATACTTCCAAATTAAAACATTCTCACTCTCCAAGCTTATAGAAACCCCTAGACTATCTCTCCCCATGGGTGATATGATTCTATACCTAGAAAACCCTAAGGACTCTGCCAAAAGGCTCCTGGAACTGATAAATGACTTCAGTAAAGCTTCAGGATACAAAATCAATGTACAAAAATTAGTAGCATTTCTACACACCAGTAACATTCAAGATGAGAACCAAATTAAGAATGCAATCCCATTTACAGTAGCGGAAAAAAATAAAATAAAATACCTAAAAATACATCTAAGCAAGGAGGTGGACTATCTCCAGAAGGGGAACTACAAAACACCAGTAAAATAAGCCACAGATGACACAAACAAATGGAAACACATTCTTAGCTGGGCACGGTGGCTCACACCTGTAATCCCAGCACTTTGGGAGGCTGAGGTATGTAGATCACTTGAGCCCAGGAGTTTGAGACCAGCCTGGGCAACATGGCAAAACCCCATCTCTACTAAAAATGCAAAAAATTAGCCAGGGCATGGTGGCATGCACCTGTAGTCCCAGCTACTCAGCAGGCTCAGATGAGAGGATCACTTGAGCTGGGGATGTCGAGGCTGCAGTGAGCTAAGATCACACCACTGCATTCCAGCCTGGGTGACAGAGTGAAACCCTGTCTCAAAATAAGAAAAAAAATTCCATGCTCACAGATTGGAAGAATCAATATCATTAAAATAGTCATACTGCCCAAAGCAACCTCCAGATTCAATGCTATTCCTATCAAGCTACCAATGTCTCTTTTCACAGAACTAGAAAAAAACTATTCTAAAATTCATATGGAACCAAAAAAGAGCCTGAATAGCCAAAGCAATCCTAAAGAAAAAGAACAAAGCTGAAGGTATTACATTACCTGACTTCAAACTATACTATAAAGCTACAGTAACTACAACAGCATGATACTGTTACAAAAACAGACACATAGACCAATTGAACAGAATAGAGAACTCAGAAATAAAGCCACACACCTACGGCCATCTGATCTTTGATAAAAGTCAACAAAAATAAGCAATGAGAAAGGAGTCCCTATTCAATAAATTGTACTGGGATACCTGGTTAGCCATGTGCAGAAGAATGAAACTGGACCCCTACCTTTTACCATATACAAAAATAACTCAAGATAGATTAAATATTTAAATGTAAGACCTCAAACTATAAGAATTCTAGAAGAAAACCTAGGAAACACCATTCTGGTCATCAGTCTTGGGAAATAATTTATTACTAAGTCCTCAAAAGCAATTGTAACAAAGACAAAAATTGACAAGTGGGACCTAATTATACTAAAGAGCTTCTTACACAGCAAAAGAAACTATCAACAGAGTAAATAGACAACCAGCAGAATGGGAGAAAATATTCAGAAACTGCCCAACCAACAAAGGTCAAATATCCAGAATCTTTAAGGAACTTAAACAATTGAACAAGCAAAAAAAAAAAAAAAAAAAAAAAACTAGTAAAAAACAGGCAAAAGATATGGACAGACAATTCTCAAAAGAAGACATACGAGCAGCCAACAAACCTATGAAAAAAATACCCCACATCACTAATCATCAATTCAATTCAAATGCAATTCAAAACCACAATGAGATACCCTCTCACACTAGTCAGAATGTCTATTATTAAAAAGTCAAAAAATAACAGACGCTGGCAAGGCTGCAGGGAAAAGGGAACACTTATACACTGATGGTGGGAATGTAAATTAGTTCAGCCACTGTAGAAAGCAGTCTGGAAATTTCTCAAAGAACTTCAAACAGAACTACCATTCAACCTAGCAGTCTCATTACTGAGTATACATCCAAAAGAAACGTTTTGCCAAAAAAAAAAAAAAAAAAAAAACCACATGTACGCACATGTTCCTTGCAGCACTATTCATAATAGCAAAAACATGGAATCAATCTAGGTGCCCATCAATGGTGGATTGGATAAAGAAAATGTAGTACATGTACACTGTGGAATACTACATAGCCATAAAAAAAATGAAATCATGTCCTTTGCAGCAACATGGATGCAGCTAAAGGCCATTATCCTAAGTGAATCAACAAAGGAACAGAACCAGATACCGCCATTCTCATTTATGAGTGAAAGCTAAACAATGTGTACTCATCGACACAAAGAAGGGGACAATAGAAACTGGGGACTACTAGAGGGAAGAGGGAGGAAGGGGGCAAGGGATGAAAAACTACCTATTGGGTACTATGCTCTGTACCTGGTGGATGGGATCATTCGTACCCCAGACCTCAGCATCACACAATATACCCAGGTAACAAACCTGCACATGTACCCCCTGAGTCTAAAATAAAAGTTTAAATTATATTTCAAAAGCTATGTAAACAAATTAATTAATAAAGTAAAAGAAAACATAGTTGCCAACATTATAAACGAAGGTATGACAGAAGAGAGTTCTTGTTTACCTATAATAAAAGATTTTAAAAATGTGTTTTCTCTCCTTACCAAAGCTGATTTGGCTTACAAATTTTTATTTTCCCTTCATTGTTCCCAACCACCCAAAAAAAAAAAAAAAAGCATGAAAGCTCATTACCTATGCAACATTCCTGTTTCTGTGTTATCCATTATATACTTAAATTAAAAGCTTTTTTAATACTGAAAATTATGAAGTCTTTCACGTTACTTTTCTGAGTTGTTTGGGTTGCTCCCAGGGGATTCTGTCTCTTTTTTTAACTAAGTATTTATCTCTGCTTCCTTCCAGGAGGCAGGAATGTGCAATTCCGTGTCCATCAACCAACTGCTTATGAGATTTTCATTTTCTTTATTTCAGAGTCTCGCTCCGTTGCCCAGGCTGGAGTGCAGTGGTGCGATCTCAGCTCACTGCAACCTCTGCCTCCTGGGTTCAATCAAGTCTCCTGCCTCAGCATCCCGAGTAGCTGGGATCACAGGCACGCTCCACCATGCCCGAATAATTTTTGTATTTTTAGTAGAGTCATGTATTTTAGTTTAGTAGTATTTTTAGTAAAAACATAGGGTTTCACCATGTTGGCCAGGCTGGTCTTGAACTCCTGACCTCAAGTGATCTGCTTGCTTCAGCCTCCCAAAGTGTTGGGATTACAGGCATGAGCCACCTTGCCTGGCCAGATTTTTCACTTTCTTAAGCTCCCACGTCTGACTAAGGTGCCTGCCTCAGGAACTTAGTATACCTGGGAGCATTCGCTTCCTCAGAAACTTCTCAGGCTCCAAGGTCTGGGGTCAGAACCGGCTGCAGTCAAGGCACAGGGGTGGAAGGAGAGTATTTCTCACCACTTCCTTTCAGGTCTCCAAATCCCAGGACCTAGACCAGCCCAGGAGTAAAGGATTCTCTACCTATGCGTGTTCTTGAAAGGTAACTGTGGAACATACATATTTCTATATCTACTGTGGCCCAGGTACTTTGCATGTATCATCTCCCATAAGCCTCCTAATTGTCTTAGGGTGTCATGGTTGTTCCCAGTAACAAGGAAGGCAACCAAGGCTGAGCATGTTTACACCACTTGCGCATGGTCCAAGGTGACTGCAACTCCCAGCTCCACTCCCTGAAGCCATTATTTTGGGCAGCCACTTAATGCACGTTAGTGCCTTGCCCTCATTTTTGGTGAGGTCTATTCCTAGCACACTCATCAGTTCCCTTGACACAAAGAAATAGATGTCACCTCTTCTATCACCCTGGACCCTGAGACATCAACACAGTCAAGCAGCAAGAAAACTCTTCAAGCAGCTGAAAGTCTGAATTGGGGCCTCACAATCTCCTCAACACTCCCACAACCCAAAGAATTCCCTGGGCTCCTCCGTCCCACCCATCCCCAGGGGAGTCCAGCCAAGCCCCAGTGCCCCTAGGGGAGTTTTCAGGCTGAGATCAGGTCTTGGGCACTATCTGAGGGATTTTAGGGCTTCCCCTCCGTGGTTCAGAGTAATCTGAATTTTATAGGCTGCAACTTGAGTTGGTTTGGTTTCCTACATCCATGGGCAGCTGACAGCTGTCAGGGAGGCAGGTATCCCTCTTGCCTCTGGCCAGTCCTGAGGCTCATTCACAGAGACAGGGACAGAGTCCAGACTGACAGACTATTTTGGCTCTTTCTGTGAGGACCCAGCAAACTGGGTTTGGCTGCTAACAGCCTCTAAAGTCAACAGAACATGCAGACTTCTCAAATACCATTGAATCAACTGACCACGAACTGAATATAGGTCTGGTTTAAGGCTTGGCTGTCCCCTCCTGTGGATTGCTTTGTTTCAGCCAAAAATGCTTTTCTTTCACGCCACTAAAATGTTTTGAGCTCCTCCCATGTGCTAAAGACTGAGATGTGTTCTGCCTAAACCTGCACTGATAAAGCATAAAGTGGGAGGGAACTTTGTCATTCATTCATTAGTTTATCATTCATTTATTCATTTATTCACTTATTCAATAAACAGATAATGAATACATGCTCTCTGGAAAGTACTGTGTTAAGCAATGTGGAAAATAAAAGGAGAATTCACCAGATATCCTGCCTTCAAAAAGGTCATATATTAATAGAAGAGATATGTCAGAGATAGAACTTTCTCTAAGACAAGGTAAAACACAATAGATGCAATGGAAAAGGTACAGGTGGAATCTCAGGAGTAGAAAGACATTACTTGCATTTAGAGTATAAGGGACGTTGTCTGGAGTTTGGTTTTCCCCAGAAGCACATCCTGATATGAGGATTTGAGTGCAAGTCGTTTATTTGTGAGAGAGAGAATCTCAAGACACGCAAAAGGAGTAGAAGTCAAGAGCAAAGGAAGAAAAACCTATAAAGGAATCTTTAATGAGCAGGTTACCACTGTGAGCAACTGGGGCTCTGCCACACTGGGGAAACTCAGAGAGTGAACATCCCTCAGGGTCACTGCAATAAGAGAAGAGGAAGATGGAGTGTTTATCCTAAAACTCCCCTTCCTTAAGATCGAGGGTTGCTCCTGGAGCAATAAGCTCCCTTGCCCAGCAGCCCAAAACGCCACCTGTGGCCGAGAACACCCTCCAAAGGGGACAGGAAGTTTCACTGTTTACAGGCACTACCTTCGACTCCTGTAAGTGGGCTAAGGGACTATGGGTGGGGCACTGCCAGCATATGCTCAAAAATCTTCACGGAGAGTCAGCACTTGAGAAGAGTCTTAACGAAAGAATAGGATGTGGTCTAGTGGAGGCAGGAGAATTTCAAGTGAAGGAATAACCCAAACAAAGACACAGAGGCAAGTACAAAGGGACTAGTGAGTAATTCAGCAAAGCTGGACCTCAGAATCCACGTGGTGGGGCTGGGAGAAATACAGTAGGTCAAGCATGAGAGAATACATTATATATCAACATGCTATAAGATCTATATATATATGTGGATATTTTGAAATAATTTTTAAATATAGTTGATATTTTAAAAATTAAATCCCTACATCAGGAAACTTATTATATCTCAATAGCAAACCACTTAACCTAGAGACAGGCTCAAATCAAATCCACTTTGCCTTTGTGGCTAAAATAGTATCTGCAAGTGGCCTCCAATATTGATTATGAAATGTTCCTGCCGATGAAATAAATTTCATCTTTATAGCCCCAAAAGATGCTTCAAACATGTCAGCAGTGTGACTCTGTGTTGATCAATAACGACTTCCAGAGCAATGTAAATTAACTCACTTCTTCTCTTACATTTTAGGAAATGTCTTCATCAGGTGTGTCACTTCTTTACTGAGGTCTTGCCCCTTGGCTGTTGCAGAACTAGAATGTCTCCCTATAGCCCAAGTACTCACAGGGACAATCAGATGTCTGCAGGGAGCAAGGCGCTAGAAGGCCATTGGACTCAAACTCCCACATGTATTTCACTACTGTCCAGGGTCCTCATTCAGCCCTGCCTGGGAACAACGCAGGGACTTTCTGTCCCAGGACTAATGCTCCACCACACATCCATGGTCACAGAAATAGAGTGAAGGCTCTACTCTACAGTGGGTGAGTTGGAGAAGGACTTAGAATTCTGATCTTAGGAATTTAGGTTTTAGGCCCATAGCAAAACCAGGGATGTTTCGCTCCTCATCAGAGTCAGGGAGCCATATACTCTCTGACACTTCAAGGAAAATCAAGCCTTTTTTTCTTACTAACTTTAATCGAAAAAGAAGTATCTATGTTCCTCAGTTCATGAAATTAACGTGTTCCAAAAAATTGATGCAAAGATGAATTTCCCAATGTTGGATCTTATTTTTAATTCAGTACAGAAACTTTATCTTTAAAATCATTTTTCCTATGTAAAATAAGAACTCATTTGTAGTGTGAATTTTAACTTTCCTTATATTCCACCAGCATGTATCTGTTGCATGAATCTTTTTGTTCTTTAGGTTTTTGTGGAGTGGAGCACATTCATTTAAAAATGTTATTTAACATTCAGGTCAGCTCAGCAACCCTTTATTGAAGGCCTGTTAGGAAGAGGCAAGCACTGAGCTAAAGGTCAGGGACACAGAAGTGAGTGTGGCACAGTCCCTGCAGGCTTCAAGGAGGTGGCATCATTATATATATACACACATATATGTTTTTTATATATACATATATGTGTGTGTGTGTGTGTATATGTGTGTATGCATATATATAATATATATATTTTATATATATATATAATATATATATATGCTGAATGTTGTAGTAGGGACTATGTAGTGACTATAGAAAAGTGGGAATTTTTTTTTCTTTTTTTGAGACAGGGTCTCACTCTGTCGCCCAGGCTGGAGTGCAGTGGTGCGATCTTGGCTCACTGCAATCTCCACTTCCCAGGTTCAAGCGATTCTCCCCTCTCAGCCTCCCAAGTAACTGGGACTACAGACACGCGCCACCATGCCCAGCTAATTTTCGTATTCTTTGGTAGAGACAGGGTTTCACCCTGGTCTCAAACTCCTGACCTCAAGTGATCCACCCACCTCAGCCTCCCAAAGTGATGGGATTATAGGCGTGAGCCACCACACCTGGCTGAAAAGTGGAAATGTTTTCAGGCAGTACTGAAAGGGATACCAGGTAGTAATTTTATGGACTAATAAAAAAATTGACCTCAATAGATCTTTTTAGATGATTTGCAAAGGGTATAAAGAATAGGTCCATACTTGCTTAACTGACATTGACAGTGTGTGAGATGAACAATCTTTATATTTTTATTGTCTCTCTAAATAAATGTTTGTAATTTCATTTCTTTGCAAGAATTTCTAGTGCATCTCAGAATCCTCTCTACAAGTCAAACTTCAATTGCTCTTCAGACCACCTAATTCTTTTCTAATCTTTTTCTAATTTAATCTTTTCTGTGAGCTTCCAAAGAGAAGCCACTGCTAAAGTAAGTAGAAAAACCCAACGGGAATATTTTGCTAAAATTCCTATGAACAGTATGAGACCCAGCCTGGCTTC
Source organism: Homo sapiens (assembly GCF_000001405.40). Lineage (NCBI taxonomy): Eukaryota > Metazoa > Chordata > Mammalia > Primates > Hominidae > Homo > Homo sapiens. The sequence goes on from NC_000006.12 coordinate 99,219,551, forward strand.
CAGCCTCAGCACAGCAAGTCCCTTCTCTGTGACCACCAGTACTCCATTTGCAAGCCCATCCCGCTCCCAGTTATAATCCTGAGCCAGGGCAAAAGTTTAAGAATGTCCCTTTGTGTGTCTACTCTGTCCTGAGTGCATTATACAACTTACCGCACAGAGCTAGCTGGTGTTACACATACTTACAGGTAAAACACCTGAGGGTTTTACTAAATAGCACACAGTGGTAAATCCAGGATCAAACCAGGTCTCTCTGATTCCAAAACCCATACCCTTTCCACTGCACCACAGGGCCAATGGCACTCCACTCCTGCGCTAAGCATCCACCTTCTCTGAGCACTCACCTGGTGGCTGTGCCCTGCTACCCACTGACTGGCCTCATAGGGAGTTCATAGCCAGCCCAGGACTCCCCCTGCTGGAATCCGCCTCTCTGCTGGGACCGCCCCTACTCCCAGCTGCTTTGTCTTGGGGATCTCCCTCGCTGACCAGCTGGCCTCTGCCAGGCTACTTCCTTGCTCCCTGGAATCTCTGCTGCTCTGGCCAGAGCAGTCCTCCCTCAGCCCCTGAAGGCTGACCAACCAGGAGCAGTATGGGCCTCTTCTCAGTTCCCCTCAATCTGCCCCATCTGCCTGTGAGCCCCTGATCCAGGGCAATGTGGATCCTGAGAAATGACAGGAAGCATCAAAACACCAGAGATGTGAAATGTCAGGTAATCAAGATAGAACCAAATCCAAGAGGCTGAGCAGAAGGTGACTTTCAGAAGAAATGAACAGGCTTTTGCCCAGAACTTCTAGCTTTCTAGTTGTAGACCCTAGAAAAGTATTCAACTTTCTCCAAACTTTGCTTAGAAATTCATTTGCCATGAACAACCAGGGCCAAATCAGCAGTAACAAAAACGGAAGAACTAAAGCAATTTTCTTGAATAGCAGTCAGCAACCTTTCCAAAGTGAGGCACCACACCCAGCTGTTCCCCCCTGATGTTCAGACATGCCTGGGCTGCAGCGAGGAGGTGTCCACTCTTCTCAGGGGGTGGGGTAGTGTGCTGACTCTCAATGAAAACCACATGCTGTAGGTTCCTACCCCAATTTAGAAGACCGTTTCTGTTCAAAGCTGGACCATTCAATCTCAGAAAGCATTCCAGCCTCTGATTGTCTTAAGCCATAACTACAGTAATAAAGTGGTCTGTTGAGCGGATGCAATTTTCTAAATATTTCAGAACATCCAGGCAAAATATTTTCTCTTTAATACCCAGGCAAGAGAGACCAAAGCAGGATGTTGCTTTTCCAGCATGATTGGGAATCACACATATTTTTAATGCATCAAGGAAAACAAAGCCCATGACTCACCCAAAAAGTGATTTTCAAAAAGTGATTTTCTCAAAGTTGAAGGAAATAATGGGAAGGATTATATGGTCCCCAATATAGTCTTAAGCATCCTTTAAGTCAAAAGTTTCTTCAGTTCAAATATGTTTATATACTTTTTCTGATTACCAGAATAATATATGTTAATGGTAGAAAATTACAAAAGTATAGGAAAGCATAAATATAAAAATTTAAATTAATCAAAATCCAGCAACTCATCAACAACCGCTGTTATTTCAGTGAATAGATATTCCAGTCTTTTCTGTGCGTATGTATTTGTCTCTCCTGCTTTTATTTTTGTTTTTTACAAAAATGGGAGCATATTATATACACTATTTGTATCCTGTTTATTTTACTTAATGATATATCTTAAATGGTTTCCCATGACATTAATTTTTCTTCTAAAACATAATTTTGATGGTCATGTAGTATTTACTGTCAGATATTTTAAATTGTTTCTAAATTTCTCTATCAGAAATAACATCAGTAGTAAAAGTTCTTGTGCATAAATCTCTGTGTATCTTATTATTTTCTTATTTCTTATTTATTTAAAATTAATTCCTTGAAGTAGACAAAGACAGAGAATATGCATGTTTTTAAGATTTTGATTCATATTAACAAGTGCCCATAAAAAATTGTACACACTTGTAAAGTGTGCCCTATTCCCCAAACCTTTGCCAATGGGGGGCATTTCCAGGTTTATTGAATAGATAAAATTGAGAGCTCATTGTTTTAATTGGCATTTATTTGTTTGCTAGTGAGATTAAACATGTTAGCATATGTTTATTGGACATTTGCTTAAATATTTAAAACCTCTATCCATTTTTATACTATGGTATTTCTCTTTTTCCTATTAATTTGTAAGAGTTCCTTATGCATTAAAAATATTCCTTTTTGGTCTACCATATTGGCTGCCAATATTTCCCCCAGGCTATCATTGCTTTTTAACATTATTTGGGGTATTTTTGGCATGAGTTACAATTCATATGCCAGCTCCAAGTAAGAGTTAAGAAACTTTCTGCATATAGACCCTAATTCCCACTGGTGGGCTCCAGTATTACTGGAAGCTATTTGAACAACACACCCTGCACACCCTGGAATGCATAGCAGTATGCAGTGGCCCTGGATTCCAAATATGTTGTCCACAGAGACTGCAAAATAAATAAATAAAGCTGCTGAGTCTAACACTTGAGCTCCTACTGGACCAAGCTGACTTCTGACCAGGGCTATAGGACAGAGTGCAGCAAGATAGTAACTATTTTAGGTTTTGAGGGCCTACATCTCTATTGTCATTTACTCAACTCTACCATTGTAGCGTGAAAGCAGCCAAAGATAATACATAAACAAACAAGTGGAGTGGCTTCATCCAAATAAAGTTTTATTCACAAAAACACTGCAATTTGAATTTCATGCAATTTTCATGTGTCACAAAATATTATTCTTTTTGATTTTTTTCAGCTTTAAAAAAATCTAAACACCATGCTTAGCTCATGGGCAGTATAAAGCCAGGCAGTGGGCCAGATTTGGCCCAAGAGCATTAGTTGGCCAATTCCTAATGCAGGATGAATGTCTGGTTTGTATCGATCTGCTAGAGAAGCCTGAGGAAAAGGACGTGTTCTGATTTGTAAGCAGAAGAGATGTGTACCCCTTCCAGGCAGGATCTTTAGAAGCCAGGACATGGCTCCATCATATTATCTTTTGCCCCCCTCTTACAACATCCCTGCTAGTCAGCCTGGACCCAAAGTGAAGATGCATAGAACAAGGCCACAGCTAACCTACAGTGAATATGAAACCTGGTTGAGAAATAAACATGTATTGATACAAGCCACCAAGATTTAGGGATCATGTTGTTACTGCACATATGTTAGCTTCTGTTGACTGACACACACCTGAACAGCTTGTTTTGCATTTGTACTTGCTTGAGTCCTATAAGCATTTTAGTTTAAAAGTCTTTTTGAGGGATGGAGTCTCACTTTGTCACCCAGGCTGCAGTGCAGTGGCACGATCTCGGCTCACTGCAACCTCCGCCTCCTGGGTTCAAGCAATCCTCCCACCTCAGCCTCCCAAGTAGCTGGGACCACAGGGGTATGCCACCACACCTGGTTAATTTTTTGTATTTTTGGTAGAGATGGGGTTTTCCATGTTTCCTAGGCTGCTCTCAAACTCCTGAGCTCAAGCAATCCACCCTCCTCGGCCTCCCAAAGTGCTGGGATTACAGGCATTAGCCATTATGCCATCCTTTTTTAAGCCATCTGAGCTTTCATTTCTCCATCTATAAATGTGCAACATTATGTACCCTCACAAGGTTGTCATGAGGATTAAAATGAGTTATTATATGTGAGAAATGCTTTATAAATTGTAAAGCACTATAGAAAAGTTTTTATTACTTTTATTATCAAATCACCATAAAATAAGACAGACTTTATCAGATTCTACTATAGAAGTAAAAAGTATTATGAGGCGGGAGGTACTCGAGATGACTGGGATCACAGAAGTCTTCAAGAGGAAGTGGCATTTGAATTAGATATTCAAAGACTGGCAGGATTCTAGTAGAAACACGCGCACAGGTAGGTAGCAACAGCCCATATTCTAACACACACTTGAATGTCCTTTGTCCCTGCCCTTGTTTGAAGTCCTAACACTGGTATCTGTTCATTAAATTTTGAGAAAGAACGAAGAAGTTCCATTACAGGTAAACAGTGCGTAATAGAAGAGGATTCTGAAGTGTTCATTCTGAAATTTGATGTAATATTTAAAATTATTTCATTTCAACTCAGAGTAAAGGCAGCCCAGAGGAGTTAGCTACATAATTGCTCTTTTAACAGTCCTTGCTACCCTTAGGACATTTAATTATTACATAATTACTCATACTTATGGCCTAGTGTGGAAATTATATGTGGATTATCAATCTTGATGATGAATATAAAAGAAAAGCAGTCATTACTCTCTGTCCCCAGAAGGTCTCCCCTGTCTCCCCAAGAGAGGACAAACAGCTCTCTCTGGGCAGTGGGGAAAGATAAGACCAGAAGCACCACAGCTGTGAGCTTGGAGACCTCACAAAGGATGAAGGTACAAAAGGTTTACACATTTCCAGAAATATTTCACCTTTGGTTTATCTTACTCAGACTCACAAATCACAAATGCTCACTGGGATATCCAACTGTTCAGTTAGAAAAGGTCTTGCCCAACACAAATTTCATGAGCGTCAAAAACATTCCAGCAGACTTCTTTGTTCCTTTCAATCCCACCTCAGAGCTCACTCTCACATTGAAAAAATAAACCCATGGATTTAACGGTGATCCACCCATGACTAGACTCGAAATCAGAGTACTTGACCCTTACATCTTCAGTCAGACTTTTAGCTTCTCCTGAATCACAGCTCTGCGATTGACAGGAAGGACAATCAATGGCAATGAGTGGGAAAATCACACAAATAACACAACATATGACTCTGTTCCTGCAAGAGCGCAAACTCTCTGCAACTCTAACATTTTATTACGTGTTTTAGGAAATAATTTGAGGAATTTGTGTAAGACCTTTCATAAGTGAGGGAGCTGTCTGCTTATATTCAGTATTAAATCTCAGATCTTACCTATTTCAAGAGACACCAGGAGTATCCCAAGTGCCCAGGAGGAGCACCCCTTAGCTCTTTTGTGACTTTTTTTTTTAAAGAGTCAAAAAGTGTAAAATAAAGCTCTCAGCCTTTTATCCTTCAGAGTCTCTTGACTGAGGGACCATTATATTCATACAAAGCCTCTTCCCTCCTGGAGCTTATAATCTAGTTAGGGAGCAGGCAGAGAAATGAGTCATGAAGAAGCAGCACAAGACTTGAGTGGCAGTACACAGCAACTTCAAGGCCATATGGGCTTAAACAACCAAAGAGCAGTTCTTCAATAATTCAGAGTAAGAGAGAAATCTCTAGGGTCTGGAATGGCCATGGGGATGCCTGGTAAAAGGTGGAATCTGTTCCAAGACTGGATGGATTTTTTTTTTCTTTGTGAAGAAGTGGGCAGAGGCCAGGCCCGGTAATCCCAGCACTTTGGAAGGCTGAGGCAAGAGGATCACTTGAGGTCAGTTCAAGACGAGCAGGGCCAACATGGCAAAATCCCATCTCTACTAAAAATACAAAAACTAGCCCAGCTCGGTGGTGCATGTCTGTAATCCCAGCTACTCGGGAGGCTGAGGCAGGAGAATCGCTTGAACCTGGGAGGCAGAGGTGGCAGTGAGCTGAGATCATGCCACTGTACTCCAGCCTGGGCAACAGAGGGGGGCTCTATCTCTAAAATTAAAAAATATATATATGTGTGTGTGTGTGTGTGTGTGTGTGTGTGTGTGTATGTGTATATATATATATGAAATGGGCAGACAACATTCTCAACATCCCCAGTATGCCCAGTGTCAGAGGAGGGATGTGTCTCATGAGCTCAGGGACAGTGAGATCTGTTGTATCTGAGTCAGACCTGAAGACGAGTTGTGCAAGATAACTAAAAAGGCAAGTAGGGGACAAATTGTGAACGGCCTGGAAAGCCTACCTAGGTGTGAACAGCTAGCATGATCCTCTGCTTGGGTTTGTAACAGATTAATGGCAAAGGGCCCAGCGTCAGCTTCTCAGCCTTTTGAAATAGGGATAATATTCCCTAGGGTAAGAAAGAGAAAGCAAAAAATAAAAAGAATAAAATTGGTATAGTAACAGTACCTACCTTATAGCAGTATTGATCCAAGAATAAAATGACTGTATATATGATATATATATATATGCACATACATATGCTCTATAAATATAAGCTCTGTGTGTGTGTGTGTGTGTGTGTGTGTGTATATTTATACATGTATACATATCTTAAAACAGGACCTGGCAAATAAGTTCTAGGTACAAGTTAATTATTATTTTGTAATTGGGGGTTCTATTCCATCATCTTTGGACATGGCTAAATAGGCATATTTAATTCTTTCTTTGGGTTTTATTGACCAAAATAAGAATAATTCTCTTGGTCTGGGACAGCTAGAGACCTGCTTCCTGGCTCTACAGTACTCCAAATAGAAACCAGGCATTTGGCAGAATAAAAGGCCCCGAATCTGTACTCCTGCGAGCACCTCCCTGAGCACCAAGCCTGTTTCTTCCACAGCCTTCCCCTGACACCTGGGAAGGGAGAGTCTTTCCCATTAGAACCCCAGAAACAGTGATTAAGATGGACATCTTCTGAAACAAATCGGAAACTTTTTTTAAAGGAGGAAAAAGGCTGAACTTCCACAGTATAAATATTACTAGATGGCCTCGGGCTCAGATGCCATTCACAAACTCCTCAAGCTGTGTGCTCGCAATTTATGACATTTAACAGAGCCCCTGGAGAGACCTTCAGTCTTGCCTGCACTCCAGAGCTAAATATTAGCCTCCTTGTGTTAATGAGGCCGAGTCAGGGAGGAGGAAGAAGGGAGATCATTGGAGTGATTTTGCTTGTTAACCCCCAGCCCTCTTCGCTCTTCCCTTCGCTTCTCACTCCCCGCCTTTAGAGAAAGCTGGAAGCTTTCATGACAAGGATTCAGTGTGTCCCCTTCACCAGCACCAGTGCTAGATCACCCCCCACCCTCTGCGCCATGGGCTGCACAGCCCCCAGACCCCAGGGCATGGCTGGAAAGAGAGGACAGAAGATACACAGGGAGGAGGCCCTGCACAGTGAAGGCCAGTAGGGTCCTGGCCTCACCCAGGCCTGCCTCTACTTACCTCTCATACCAGCCTGTAAACAGATGTGGCTCTGGTGAATCTCTAGGCCCCCAGCAAGGGAGGATCTGTACTTATACAAGATAGTCCAGCCAAAGCCCACTTCTGGACAGGAGGCCATTCATGTGAACCAGCCCCACCCACACCTGCTTCCCCTCATTAGGCCTGACCATCTCCTGGACAGGGCAGTTATGCTCTCTAGGCCTAAGGCTGCCAGATTTAGCAAAAATGAATTCTATTTTTGTAATTTTTTTTAAGAGATGGAGTTTCACTCTGTTGCTCAGGCTAGAGTGCAGTGGCACGATCATAGATCACTGTATCTTCAAATTCCTGGACTTTAGGCAATCCTCCCACCTCAGCCTCCTCAGTAACTAGGACTATAGGTACATGTGACCACTCTCAGCTAATTTTTTTATTTTTTTGTAGAGACGGGAGTCTCACTATGTTGCCCAGGTTGGTCTTGAACTCCTGGCCTCAAACAATCCTCCCACCTCAGCGTCCCAAAGCACTGGGATTATAGGAGTGAGCCACTATGCCCAGTTTATGAATTAGTTTTAATGTAAGTATGTCCCACACAATATTTGAGACATACTTATACTTTAAAATTACTCTTTGTTCATTTGAAATTCAAATTTGATTTGGCATTATGCATTTTATCTGGTGATATGGTTTGGCTCTGTGTCCCCACTCAAATCTCATATCAGATTGTAATCCCCATGTGTTAGGGGAGGGACCTGGTGGGAGGTGATTGAATCATGGGGTGATTTTCCCCACACTGCACTCATGACATCTGATGGTTTAAAAGTGCGTGGCAGTTGCCCCGTCGCTCTTTCTCTCTCTCCTACTCCACCATGGCAAGACATGCTTGCTTCCCTTTCATCTTCTGCCATGATTGTAAGTTTCCTGAGGCCTCCCAGCCATGCTTCTGTACAGCATGGAATTGTGAGCCCATTAAACCTCTTTCCTTCATAAATTCTTCAGTCTCAGGTAGTTCTTTATAGCAGTGTGAGAACAGACTAATACATCTGGAAACCCTGGCTCAGCCTCAGTTTCCTCATCACTAAATGGAGTATTAAACTAGATCAGTGATTTCCAAACTTTTTTTAAGGTCAAAGTTCCTCTCTTAAGAGAAATCTTACCCAGAAGCACAATATATGAAACAAATAAGAACAGAGCCACCCAGATTGAGGCAGAAGTGGCAGCCTAAGCCCTCCTCCCACCTTTTGCTGAACCCAGGTCTGTCCTGGGTTCTGTTTCAACACCAAGGGAGTACATCAACCCCGCAATTTTATCTGTCTCCTCCACCTAGGCTTTCAGAGGCCTTCAAAAATGAAGACCCTGCAAAACTTTACTCATTCATGTCTGTTTCCTTGGCCACTAGAAATCCTTCACATGCACTGTCATGAGAGGTAAGGAGGTTATCTCCAAATACTCCAGGTCATAATCCCATTCCCCAAACCCCTGAGACGTAGGCTAGGCTCCTCCTCTGTAGGCACATGCCACAGTGATAAAGTGCCTCAGAGACTGCCCAGAGAGGCTGTGTGTGGCAGTGGAGAAAGCATGGTCTCCACTGCCACTGTTTAGCTGGGTAACTGATATGGTTTGGAAGTGTCCCCACCCAAATCTCATCTTGAATTATAGCTCCCATAATTTCCACATGTTGTGGGAGGGACCTGTAGGAAGAGAATTGAATCATGGGGACCGTTTTCCCTATACTGTTCTCATGGTAGTGAATAAGTCTCACGAGAACTGATGATTTTATAAGGGGTTTCCCTTTTCACTTGGCTCTCATTCTCTCTTGCCTGCCACCATGTAAGACGTGCCTTTCACCTTTTGCCATGATTTTGAGGCCTCCCAGCCATGTGGAACTGTGAGTTCATTAAACCTCTTTTTCACTGTAGATTACCCAGTCTCAGGTATGTCTTTATCAGCAGTGTGAAAATGGCCTAATGAAGTAACCTTGGAACGTGAACGTAGTCTCTGAATATCAGTTTCTTGATGCTAAGGATATTGTTATAATAATTAATATTATACTTATATTTAAAATACAAATACCTTTTGATACATAAGTTTCACTTGCAGAAATATGTCCTTCAACTATTAGTGTACAAAATACAAAATGTATTACCTGTTTAAAATATCCAAAAACTAAAAATAAGCCATCAAAAGGGGATTGGTTAAATAAGTATGGTACATTCATCAATTAAATCCTATTGCACTTTTAAAAAATAAAATGGATCTATATATGCTAATAAAGGTAAATATCCAGTATATATTATCAAATATAAAAGTAATAAGCCCAATAGTAGATAAAATTTTATAAAATAAATATTGGCTATGCATGGGGGAAAAACCTAGAAAATACTACATTGGAAGTGATTTGGTTGTTTTCCTCTTTTACGTTATAAATTTATATATTGCTTTAATTTTTATACCAACATACATTAGTTTTAGAATCAGATCAGTAAAGTTTTTTAAAGAAATTTAGAGACTTCTAAATTTTTTCTTTATTTTATTGTTGAAGAAACTGGAACCCAGAGAATCACACAAGGAATGATTTCTGCCTTTTACATCGTTCACTTTTTTGGCTATCCTCTAACTCTTTGGGAAGCTAGCTTCCCTTCCCTATCTGGAAGAGAGAGATCTATTCTCATTTAATCAGTCTAGGGTGTGGCCTGAGCACTGGGATTTTTAAAATCTACCTAGGTGCTTCTGAAGTGCAGCACCCAAGTTTGCAAACCACTGTTTCATATAGTATGTACTTAATAAGTAGGACTGATTGTAATTATAAATTTGATGAGGCTCCAAATGACTGTGATCATGCCTAACATATAACCCCCTATAATACCATTCTATCATAAATCGCATACACCATGCTGTAATAAAGAGCAGAGAGAACTATAAAATTTAGCAGCTAGGTCTTACCTAAACATTTTCTTTAAAAAGCAGAAGAAAATGTACCAATCAGATACGGGCATATAATTCTGGCTGGCCAATTAGAATATACATCCTGCAGGACACAGGGCTTGGTTCAGGGATGAATATGTGACATAAACACAGTCAATTCAAATCTTTTTCAGGAACTCCTATAGATACAGAAAGAGAAGATTTCATACCTTTTACTTTCAATCACTATTCATGAGTAATATCTAAGTTTGAAACTACCTAGGCATATCTTTTGCCACAAAATAGAAAAACTAAACCTGAAAATGAATCCAAAGAAATAAAGAAAATCTGGGAGAGCAACAATGTTCTATTGATATCCATAAAGCCACTGGATCCAGTTGGGCCTATGGCTTGCTCCATCCTCTTGAAATTCCTGTTTTTGCTAACTAGTGTGAGGGAGTTTTGCAGAAAACGGCAACTACAGATGATTGCCAACATTGCAGAGCTCAAAGGTGCAGAGCAAGGGCTAACTCCCCATCCTACCACTCCCCCTCCAACCCACCCATTCCAATAGCTGTCCCACCACACAGATGCCCCATCACAAGGTCTGCGGTGGTGCTGGTGTTCAGATGCTACCTCTTCGGTACAAATGTACACTTGTATAAATCCTCTGGAAGAAAACTTCACAAAATATATTATGAGCCTTCAAAATATCTGCACTTCTGTGTGACAAGGGGAAAATGTGTTGATGAATGGTCTTTTTGATCATTACATTTCTCATTGTCAATGAATGCATTGCCTTTCTGATTTTAGTGTTTATACTCTTTGGCTCACAATTGCCACTTAGGAAATAGATCCTATGGAATTTTTTTAAATTGTGAGCAAAGATTTAAGAAGAAAGAGGTTTATATAAAATAGAAAAAAGTGAGATATCCTGAGGTATGATGATAGTGAAGCAAGTTATGACATATCCAAAGAATGGAATATTAAGCAGTAGTTTTAAAAACCTGTTGCACATTTATGGTTTTTAATGAAAAGAAAAAATAATTAAGTGAAAAGGTAGGGTTTGTTTCACCTGTTCCATTTTACCATATCTAATGTATCTTAGAAGCATTTCATTAAAACCATCTCTAATTTGGGAAGCAAACTGATGCAGTATAGCCAAGAGTTAGATTTGTGGAAGAGACCTACAGTGGCAGATCATTATTATTATTTGGTTGAAATAATATCAGTACCTACAATATACTTCACTGAGCACATTTCCAGTCATATCAAATATTCTTCACATCCCAGCTACCAGAGTTCCTATGAATTGCTTACACAAAATCTTTGTACAAGTAGCCCCAGAATGATGCCCTTGAGGCAAACAACTGAGCAAGATGACAAGAAGGTATGAAGAATTACGTGAAGCTCCCCTACAGGCAATTTTGGTTCTTCCAGACCAGTTACCGAAGTCAGGCACACTAGAGCCCCCAAATAACTAACTAAGGATATTTTCTCTTTAAAGTGAATATTCAGTGTGTCCCCTGGGACTCACTCATGACCAAAAAGGAATATTTTTATCATGCCACCTGCCTTCTGCTTCCGTAACTGAAAAACAACTCTTCACCTTATTATGTTTTTTGCCAAGAACTATATTTTATCAGGCAATCTTGCATTTATTGCTTTTCTTGATAGATAGATTCAAAGGTTTTATTAATAGGGTAAAAGTTTAAGAATTATTGTCGATTTGGTTTACTATAGAAAATATCAAAAATCTATACTTAGAAGCAGTGTGGCGCTATGGGGAGTACCAGAGACCAGGGTTCAAATCGTGACTGGGCCTGGAGCGAAACTCCATCTCAAAAAAAAAGAAAGAAAAAGAAAACATCTTGTGATATTGATAAAAATCAGGCTCTGATACAGTGAGACTGGGATGGAGCACTAGAGTTCCAACAAGCTCTCAGGTGATACCAATACTGCTGGTACACAGACCAAGCTATCAGTAGCAAAGCTATATATATCACTGGTTCTCAAACTTGACTAGACCTTTGAATTATCTGAGGAACTTTAAGAAATACTGATGATTGAGTTCCACCCCCAGAGAGTCTCATTAAATTGCTCTGGGGTGTGGCCTGAGTATTGGGATTTCTTTGAATATCCCTAGGTGATTCTGAGGTGTAGCACCCAAGTTTAAAAACCACTGTTCCACATAGTATGTGCTTAATAAGTAGAACCTATTATAAATTTGACAAGCGTTCAGATGACTGTAATTACACTTAACATATAACATACTATAATACTACTCTATAATAAATAATATATATCATGCTGTAATAAAGAACAGAGAAAACTGTATAACTTAACAGGTAGATCTTAGCTAAACAATTGTTTTTAAAGCAAAACAGTCAGAGTCTATATAGAATTTAGAGTTTTCTAAACTGTATATGTAACTACTTTAAATGAATGCATATGCAACACTTTAAAGAGAAGTGCTTTGTTTTAAGAGTGTCTCTTCAAATGCATTCCAATGCATGGCACACATAAGAAGGTTTCTGTCCTATCTTGTTAACTACAATGTTTGGGGTTCTTTTAACTGTGCATTCTCATTTCCGACAGAGAGTGGGAGCACAAGACACATGATACAATAGGGAAAATGTCGAGACAGCGCTTTCAAACATAGTCATCCAAATGTGAAGGGGCATGCCGTTCAGAAGAAACAGAGTAAGATGATACAGCAAGAAGAGAGGAGAGCAGGTGACGCGATGTGACGCTGACATGCCAGATCAAAGACTCTGACGGGACAGAAACATTTCATTTGGGAATCAAGGGAATTGTTATAAAGTTAAGAGACAGAAGGAGGACTGTGGAAATAATAAGACTGGCTTTCAGCCACCACATCTAAGGACTTTGCCCAGAGGAACTAACTATTCAAGTGCTCATTCAGAACACTCTGACTGAAAGCTTAAATGGAAAGGATCCGGGATTCCAGCGGGATCTGCTTGTCTTTAAATGTCTCCACCCTAATTCAGGGACCTCTGGCCATCTACAGAAGTCACCCATATTCCAACAATCTTCCTCAAAGACTAACAATCTCTAGCTCTTGAGAAATTATAGTATTCTACCAGTTCACTGACTTTAGCACTTAATTGTGCATTTAGCACTTGCAATTGGACTGACTTATTATACATGCCATTATTTTTAAAATAAGAACTACTTTGCCATGTTTTTAGACTATTATGTCTTTCTACACTCCCTTAAACCAATAATTTTATGTCTTCTTAATTTTTTAACTTTTTTCTACCACTTTACTGTTTTGCATAACAAACCCACTGCTTCAAAGAAAATAATTTTAAGCAATTTATTCGGAAAACTGAAAAATAATACCTATTGAGTAGTCTGAAGAGAGAGCACTCTCTAGTTTTCTCAGTTTCTGAGGTTGTCTGAGTTGGGCAAGACATTTATTCTTTTTGACCTTGTTTTTCCATTCATAAGAAACTTTAAAATATGAGAGATTTTGACAAAGTGATACAACATTTCTCAGATGGACACAACATTCAAACTTATTAAGACAAAGGTAGGAGTGGAATTAATATGAACTAATTGTACAACTTAAAGAAATTTGAATGTACCTGAGACAACAGAATCATGTTTACATTCACCAGGTCATGAATCTTAATAAATGAAGTTCAAGAAATATCATGAAGTTAATAATAATGAGTTTAAAATGTTACACTAAATATTTCCGTAATGGTGACCAGAGTCATAAAAGAAAAAATGAAAAAGTTGAAGATTCTGTCACATGCAGGCAAATGAGAAATCTCAGTAAAGTAAAACAAGGCAAAGAAGTTGGAAGGGCCTGACGCTGGAAGAGAATGTTCCATTCTTGGACCCACTCAGTGGCGCTGGAGGATAGACATGGTTGTATGCGCTGCAGCTGTCAGGTGCAACATGATCTCTAAAGAGTGTAGTCACAGAAGATAATGCCTGGCACACAGGGGGGACTCAGTAACTTCTGGATGGATGGGTAAATGAATGTGTCTCCCTATTCAGAATCCAAAAAGAGATATGAGATATTAAGTTACCTATAAAGGGGAATGAAGGATGCAGGAGAAACTCAGCAGCCCCAACAGGCAGGTAGTATCAGGGAGATCCATCAGCAGGTGGAGGAAGGTATTCAAGGAGAGAGAACAGAGAGAACTACCAAAATAAATGGAAGATTGTTGAAACAATAATTAATACATAGGCAAATAACACAAAAACTAAGAAGAAAATAACAACAACAAATGGATATTTTTCTGCAAGGAGAAAACAACAATGAATGGGTCTTTAGTCCTAGACAAAATCTCAATTCTCAGACCTAAGGCATAGAGCAAGATATCTCATGACCAGCACACAGCTTCAGGAATCAGAACTAGCACCAAAGGCTGCTTGCTGCTGGGACCTGGAACTCCTGTAAATCTCCCCCTGCCTGGAGGCAGGATTAATCCTCAAGCCCAGGACAGAACTGAGAACTGCAGGTTTGTCCAGCAAGATACAGCCTTCGGGAGAGGAAAAAACAAAGGCTGAAAACCAGACAACCTGGGAAGCAAACAGGATCCTAATGACTACAGAGAAGAGAAATGGGAAGTGAAATGGGATTCCAAGAAAAGTAGAAACAGCAAATCCCATGGACTATTACAAGTCATCTAAAAACACAGCCACTCTGCAATAGCTCTGTGGTTGAGAAGCTTGAATCCTCATGTGGTCTTACTTCCATGAGTAACCCAGCATACTAGTAAGCCAGTAACACAGTTCGAGCCCCAGTTACACTAGTAACCTAGCATACTAGTAACCCAGTGGCACCAGCCATAAACACTCCCTGACTTCCCTTCCATGCAAAGAGACCCGTCCCAGGCTTCTGTCACAAAAGTGAATTCCTGTGATTTAGAATAAACTACTGACAGGAATGCTAAGACTGAAAAAAGATTACATGAAAAATATCCAAGGGTTTCCTTTTCCAAAATCAAAACATAGACCATTTCACACCAAGAGTGAGGATTTCTGCCATCCATTGGGAGGAATGGAAAATAGCCCGTTGAGCCCACAGGAATATTGCTTGCTGGAATAAAGGAGCCAGAGTGTGCAGAGAGTACTTCCCTTTTCAGCTCAGGTCCAGATCTCTTATTCCCTCATCAAGTCAGGCTCAGTGGCTGAGCCTCTCTCCAGCTAAACAAAGAGGAGAGCTGAAGTCATTGACTCTGTGCCCTAGAATGTGAGCAGTTTGCTCACATGGAAAGAAGTCCCTTCTCCTGCTCCTTCAGCTGCCCATTCTAAGGACCCTTCCTCACATCAGTATTCTGAAGGGGCCCTCTGATGCTCGGTGGCATTGAGGCTGAGCAGTTGTTTTTGGTTTTAGTCCATTCTGTATTTTTAGCCCCCAGCATTGCCTCCAGCCACTTGCACTTGTTTAAGAGGATCATTTGCTACTGATGTTTGCTCGGAGCATCAGCAAGATGTGATGGTGCTGCCTTTGCTTAGCGAATAAACCCAGTTTCAAAGAAGGAAGACAAGCTGCCTTGCAAACCAGAGTCACTATGGAGGATTCCATAAGGAAGGCTCGAGCTTTCCAGAGCCAGGCTTTGTGGTGCCTCATCCCACAGCTTTGTGAAGCTGCTTACAGCAGCATCCTCACCCCTGAGGCAGAATATAGGTCTAACAAAGTAAAAGAAATGCTTCCCCGAAAGTCTGGCTCCAGTACTAAAAAAAAAGAGGGAAGGAAACCGTCTTAGCTCTGAATGTTAATGAATCTTTAAAGAATAGGAGAGCACCCCCTACACTAATGGAAGATTCCTGTATCCTCCCCACCACAGCACCACTGATACTGGCAATGATGCCAAGAAGAGCTCAGCCCAGGGACCCACTTTGCCGCCCTGCCCTCAGTGCTACTCAAACAGCCAAAGACAAATTTGGCCAGCCCACTCATGTCTCCTCCCCATGAAAAACTGCTCATGTGTGTCGGAGCCTGGATGACTAAGTTGGGGCAGCTTTACTCCATTTGCTGCCTCCTTCTGAGTCTGTTCAGTCCTTTTCTTAGCTCGAACTATTAACGTCATCCTCTTTTTCTGCCTCTCCTTCTTCCACCCCTCTCTCCCTTCCTGGATTCTCAAAGGGGAAAGGTAGGATGGGGGACAGGACAATAAACTAAAGAGATGGATGAGGTTGAGGATGGAGACCTATCCAATTAATTTCAGGACACTGTTAATGCTAGCTGTATTGACAGCTTCTCCCATTGTCATCCTGGAAGAAAGTTAAAGACCTCTCTTCTTTGAGCCTAGGTTCCCTCCACTGGGAAATCAGAATGATAACACCTATATTGCAGGGCTGCTGAGGGAATTAAATGGTATGATGAGTGCACAATGCCCTGCACGCAGTAGACATAAAATAAACAGGAGCAGTTACAATTGCTCTCTCCTCAGACAAGTCATGCAAATCAGCACCCTGTATATTATTGTTGCTTTCTCTATAACTAGCTACCACACATATCACACACAGCTCAACTTCATTACGCAAAACAGATGCAGCAATACCCGCATCTGGCTGCCTTCAGCTGTGGCCCCCAGAGAACAGGTAAACTCTCTCTTAACAAGGCTGTGTGAGCCTCAGAGGATAAACTAAGCTTCACTATCAAAGAGAACTGACCCTTAACCTCAAATTGAAATGAAACAAGTTTTTTGGAGAGTTCAAAACATCCAGTAGCTCTCCTTTCGATTTCATAATACATTCTAGTAGTTGCAATTACAGGTTGGCTTCAGAGAGCAATGTTGTAATTCTAAGGCCAGACCATATCAATATTTCTGATCCACCTAAAACCAAGTAAGTGCCCAAGAAAATCCTGGACCCTGTAAGATTTACAGACCAATTTTCTAAACCAAAGTGGTTTGCATAGGCTTTGGATAAGAATCTGAAATCAAGTTTTCTTATCTAAACTAGACCACTTTAAAAGAAGAAAAAGAAGAAGATACAATATTAGATTTCCAGGGAGTGGTTTGCAGCAATACAAGACCAAGGAAAACAATTATCTGGAAAATGAGTGTTACAAATCAACAGTTCCTACACAGAAAAGACACGACACCACATTTCATAGAGCTTGGGAGTATACACTTGAAATAACTACTATGAAACAAAAAAAAAAATCACCAATTGAACTCAAATTGTATCATTTATTTGGACCCTGACTGCTATCTTTCAGATTATGATGAAAGGGATGTGATAAGAGGAGATACTGCCTATCTGAACCGTAACTGGGGCTGGCTGGGGTCATAAATCTGCTGGGGTGTTAACCTCCCATTACAGTCTGTACACACCTCTCACCATGGAAGTAATGGTGGTCATGGGGCCTATCTGTCTCAGATGGAATGGAGACATGGAACTCCATTTAGCTACAGTAGAGGTCAGTGGTTTCTTGGGCATAATCTCCCCTTCCACGATTGAGTATCACAGGCCCCTAGGATGAATAGGATTTTACTGGGAGGACTAGAAGCATATTCTTAGAAGTGGAAGTAACCCACACAACTTAGAATGTTTGCCATATTAAACTGGAAAAATGAAAGTTGTGCTTGTAAGAAAAATGGAAATAAACAATAGCCGTAAATGGGAAATCGATTTTAAATAGATTTTTCAAGTATTTCTCATCTTCGTTGACTATTGAAGGCATTCAAACATCATTTTGGTCTTCAAATTAATTTCAAACTATTGTAACATTTGTTCATAATCTCAAAGTGGTTTCAAAAATTAGTAGATTCCCTTATTTCCCTCAGAAATGAATCTCTGACACCATTTTGAGGCAGATCCTAGAGAAATAGAATCCCAATGCACTAGGAGAAGCAGTGTGGTAAGTGGGGAATATTTAAGAGGACACCTGAATTCAACTTGCTGAAATTGTACAAAATGAATAGATAAAAATATGGGACACTTGTCTCTCATTCACTCCCACATTCCTGCCTTCTGGAAGGGTATTGCCTCATACTCTACCATATCCCTACAGGAGAGATGTTCCTAAAGTAAGAGCTGTCCAGAGAAACCTGATTCCATTAGCAGTGCCCTGGAACACCATCTCCAAGCTTCACCTACTTTTCTCCACCCAAAAACCTTGTCTGGTTTTTCTCCTTTCTACTAGATCCTTCTCAGATAGGGAGCACCTACAATACCTGGGAGTGTGTTAGAAATGCAGACTCTCAGAACCCACCCTGAACTACCAGATAAGAATCTGCATTTTGGCCAGGCGCGGTGGCTCACGCCTATAATCCCAGCTCTTTGAGAGGCTGAGGCAGGCAGATCATGAGGTCAGGAGTTCGAGACCAGCCTGGCCTATATGGTGAAACCCCATCTCGACTAAAAATACAAAAATTAGCTGGCCGTGATAGTGGGCGCCTGTAGTCCCAGCTTCTTAGGAGGCTGAGGCAGAAGAATCGCTTGAACCTGGGAAGCAGAGGTTGCAGTGAGTCAAGATCGCACCACTGCACTCCAGCCTGTGCGATGGAGCCAAGACTCCAGCCCAAAGAAAAAAAAAAAAAAAGAATCTACATTTTATCAGGATCCCTATGGTATTTTCTTGCACATAGAAGTTTGAGAAGCTGCCACATCATTACATTCTTCTTCTTCCTGAGCCCCTTTCCACCTGGCCCCCTGAGCCCTCCCTTTTCTTTTATTAACATCCTAAAGTTTTTCTTAGTGAGTTTGTCATGATTTCAGTCACAAGTCTTTCCCCCATTGCTATTCTGTCCCATCTCCCACAGTATATGAAGCTGTGTGTAGGAAGATGTTACTTTTATTTTCTCTTGTGCTTTTCATTATCTGTGCATACCCAGGTTTGCCCTGTCTTCTTCATTACACTTGAAGTTCAGCTCAAACCACATGAATTCTTTGTCTACACTGTGCCAGGCACTGTGGCAGGTGCAATGGTTACAAAGGCAGCTAAGATGTAGGACAAGGACATGTCCTCCAGGAAATGCAGTCTAGACTCTCTCTTGCCATTCATCCCAACAGCAGGCTCTCCTGTGAGCACTCCAAGGGCACCAACAACTGAGAGAAGACCTTCACCAACCAAAACTAGGCAAGACCAAGATGTGACAACAAACAAATTAGAGCTATTTAGGTAAAAACTCATTTTTTTATTTGGAAAAGTGCCTCACTGTACTTTCTATACTTGGATTAGATGCCCAATGCTCAAAGCAGAAAGACCACCATGCACCCTCTTCAGTCCACTACGCTTTCTGGTTTCCTCCTAAGAAAACTTTGGCCAATGCATGCAAGACCCATTCAGCACTTTTACCAAAGGAACAGTAAGGAAGCGGTTGCATTCCCTAGAACCCTTGGGGTGAGATCTATCTCTTAGCCTGCTTTCACCAATATGACCAATCAATGTGTGAACATACAGTGCATGGTAG
Source organism: Homo sapiens (assembly GCF_000001405.40). NCBI lineage: Eukaryota > Metazoa > Chordata > Mammalia > Primates > Hominidae > Homo > Homo sapiens. The sequence goes on from NC_000006.12 coordinate 99,238,921, forward strand.
AGTAGAGCTGGCCACAAATTCTGTCACTCTCCCAATAAAACTGCAGTTTATTAACTCTCTCCGTGAATCTAGGCTGTTGCTGTGACTCCCTAATGAATAAAAGTGACAGTGTGCCAGTTCCAGGCCTACATCTTAAGAATGTCTGGCAACTTCCCCTTTGCTCTTTTGAGAGCACTGAGCTGCCATTTGGGTAATCTGACACCCTTGGTGGAGAGACCCCATGGAGAAGAAAGGCCAGCAGCTACATGGAGAAGGAGAGAGGTGCAGCCCTCCTAGCATCCCAGTCCAGCCTTCAGACAACTCCAGTTCCACTCCCCATCTGGTTGCAGCCACATGAGAGATTCCAAGCAACTAAGCAGAACCACACTGCTGAGCCCAGTCAACCTATAAAACCAATGAGAATTGATAGAATGGTTCTTCTTTTAATCCCCTAAGCTTTGGGTGCTTCATTACACATCAATAAATAATGTATTGAAGTAATAAACTTCTGGTAAGTCAGAAATGGCCTTGGGATCTCCAGAAGATCAGCCTACCTATCAGAAATCTATCTTATGTGAAAGAAAACAACCAACACTTCCAGATGGTCAGCCTTCAGTCTATTGCTGTGCCTGCTGCAGTCCCAGTGCATGTGGAATAAACACTCTAAAACTTACTAAAAGAGGATGACTGATAAAGGACAGGGAAGTCAGGGTCCAGCTACACTTGCTTCAGAGTGAACATGACTACTGCTTTCAGATGTGACCAGCCAACTGTCAGCCAGCTGAGGTAATCTGCCCTGTGAACTATGTCACCTTCATCAACGTTGAACCTCAACTGTGTCACTCCACTCAAGAGAAGGAAAGACTCTGCAAGAACCTGTGTAGGCTACTTGTAGACATGCCAATGTCTGATGAGGGATCAGGAGTTTTCAGTGAAGAGTGTTGGACCTCCCAGAATCAAAAAGCCCTAGCAATTTGTTTCTGATCATTAAGTGTGTCCACCCATCAGATCATATTCCTCCACTCACCTCTCAACGCTAAAGGAAAAGCAACACACCCACGACCTGATCAACTATACAATCATTGCTCATTAGGTCTCAAAGGGCAGTTAGGTGAGTGCAGCGTGGACCAACCTGAGGCTGATGAACTAGAGATGCTGGATAATGAAGTCAGCAACGTGCAGCCAATCAGCATCCCACCATTCAGAGTTCAACATAAAGCCCTGCAAAAGAGAAAGGTCAACAAGAGGCTCATGGTGTCCCAGCAGCTTTCTCATGTGACAGCATGTGGAGATAATTTACCTGAATCATTGGCTGCAAAATAGTCAGCACCCAATCTGTGGTTGGCAATGCCCTGGAAAAAATACATATGAAAACTTACATCGAGATATAATCGGCCAAAATTAGGGGAGTAATTAAAGTACTTAGGGTATATTTATGTGAAACTTAATGTTGCCATTAAAAATTATGCTAAGGAAGAATATTGATGAATGGTAAATGCTCATAATATAACACTTTCTAGCTAAGTAATCTTGGACACATAACTTCAGCTGTCTGTGCCTCTGTTTCCTCATCTATAAGTGAAGATAACACCACCATATTTAATTAACTTTAACATGCATATTTTCTCACATCTTAACATCTCTAGGGAAGAAACAAATTATAATTTATAGTGACTTAAAATTAGGGGGTAGTGTTTTCTTCTTTATTTCTTATTGTACATAAGATGCTCTAAGGTGATGCATCTTAGAACCCACAGCATCTTACACTTGATGAAAAGGTAGGATCTACTGTATTAGGTTGTTGTGATGATTAACAGAGTTGAAATAGATGGACAAACCTGAAACTGTGTGTCACAAGAGGCAAGCACTCAAAAAAATTAGCTGTTATCACTGTTATCAAATGAAAGCTCCCTTGCACACATGTACTCACCTTAACAGGAACAGTCAGCTGCCTGCTTGAGAGGGCTGAGCAATGCTGATAGGCAATCCCACCTAAAACAAATGTACACCTCTCTTTATTTTGGTGCCTGGATTTCGCATCACCCATCCCTTTCCATCCACAAAAGCACGGCTTCCCAACTCTGGTTGCACAGAGGAATCACCTGAGGAGTTTTTGAAGTGCCAGTGGCTGGGACACCTCCCTCACCCAAACACACAGACACACACACACAAATTCTGATTTAATTGGCCTGGGACAAGGCCCTGGCACTGGGATATTTAAAAGCTCCCTAGGTGATTCTGATGTATACCCAAATTGGAAAGTCACTGCAGTAAATTACAAGGTCTTCGAGACGAAAGGTTTTCCCAGGAAGAAAACCAATATAATGGCACAGTAGGGTCCTGGAGTCAGACAGATCTGGATTCAAATCCCTGCTCCTCCCCTCGACTAGCTAAGTGACAAATTGCTTAACTTCTCACAGTCTCAATTTCTTCATCATCAAATTGAGAATAAAACCAACCTCATAGGGTTGTTTTGGGGATTCATAAAATGTCAACAAATGAGCTAAGAATATACATTTAATAAGTAAGTTATTAGTACCATTTTGCAGCCTTTTTGGCACCTACCTGGTGACTTGCCAGTGGAGGTACTTAATAAATATTTGTTGATTTGAATTGGGACACTAGAGGAAGACTCTTTCTCGAGAGAGAAGGACATACAGAAGAGGTCATCAAAGGATCGCAGGTAAAGGCCAATCCCAATTCAGTCTAGACCACACTTGGTAGGAACACATCCTTCATCAACAGGGCAGCATTCAGCTCCAGGGACCTCTACCCTCAAGACATCCTCTCCATGTTCAGGCTCCTGGGTAGGTAAACTGACAATTGACCAGCATTTGATAATCCAGTCAGAGGCGCAATCTGAGGGGTTTTTACAAACAAGGGATGTTGAAACAAAAAAATATATAAATACTCGACTAAATGCAGGGATCGATGTTCCTTGGGAATAAACCCATACCTTAAAAGCTGAGTGGACAGAAAGGCACCATTCCCATAGGCCTTTCTATCCTGCATGCCTGGGCCAGACCACCAGCCAGGACTTGCCATGCTCCTGCAGTAAGCTGTACTAACAAGGATTCTCAGGGAAATGAAACCAGGTCCCATTCCTCACATCAGCATCAAATTTTTATTTCTTGACTAAACAGAAGCTCTGTGGCAGAGAAGCAAAATGACTTTTAAAAAGAAGCAAAATTAGAATGGAAATCATTTGCTGCCCTCTTGTGGGTGCCTTGGTATCCCGTCTTGCTGCTTGCCAAGGGAAGTCTGGGTTATCTCCTTAGCCTTGGAAGAAATGGTGAAGGAGAAGCAACAAAAGGTAAAACTTGTCATAGTGCTTATAATTTTCTTGTGGTACAAATCTGAATTTGGGCTCCTGGCTTAACGCTGCACCATCCAGGGGTGGTGGGAGGTAGGAGAGAGCTAGTAAGATGACGTATTCCAAGACCAATCCTTAGGGTTACATCTCCTCTAGAGAAGAGGAGGTCAGGGGCTCAGGCCAATTATGAAATCTTGGACCAGATCAACTGTGAAACCAAACCAGACTTCACGGAGCAGGAGGTGAGGCTGATTCACAGCGAAGGTGGCCTGAGCTGGGAGCAGGTGCTGTGCCCCAAATTGCAGCTCAAGTTCTGTCCACAGTGGACTGAGCTAGACTTTAGCCCATCAGGAGCTAAGCAAATTGCTTTTGTCTTTAGGAATGTTGAAAGATACTCTCCCTAGCTTGGAATAGATCCAAAATGTGTGTTGAAGTCACAGTCCCTCTAGAGATCACCCTGTGCTAATGAAAGATTTAAGATTTCCCTGTTAGCTGCCACATCATTTGCAACTTAACTAGTGACAGAAAAATGAACCTAAATGGATTTTTTAAATTATTACATTCTTAATATATACATGAAATTTCAGCAATCTTACAGAAATGTAACCACATATTCTAATAATCTAAGAAAAGAGGGGAGCCTTAATAAAATATTATTTAATTTACTATTATCTTTGTATTGATATATCATAATACAAAGTCTACTAATACTATTGCTGGAGTAGTGGTTTTAAAGTAGCATTCATTCTGATCCCATGAGCATTCACAATAGAAAAGCCTGTTTTATGAGCATCCTCTATCCTAAGATAGTAGTTTTCATTCTAAGGCTGGTCCATGCAGAAATCAAGCAATGAATTTATTTTTTCCTTACTTGATTGACCTAGCATTGCACAGATACAGCTTCATATTAATGATTCCTCAAATGAAGATTCGTTAAACATATACCTGACTGCATCACTCATCTACTTGGAAGCTCCCATGGCCTCCATATTCCAGAATGGCACTGTCTGATATTGTAGCCACTAGCCATGTTTGTCTAAATTTATATTTTAATGCACTAAAATTAAAGTTTCCTCATTGCACCAGTCACTAGGCCCTTTATTGTTCAGTAGCTACATGTGGCTACTGTATTAGTGCAACTGTTGAACATTTCCAAGATTACATAAATTGCTCTTAAATATAGGATACTGATGAAAATCCTCAGCAAAACAAACAAAGCCCTTTACAGCCTGGTCCCAAATGCCTTACTCTCGTCTCTGGCCTCTTTCTCCAAATATCCCCACTACATGGCTCCCAATCCCATTGCTGCCACTGATCTCCCCGGGATGTCTCCCCTCTACTTCCTACCCCACTACCTGAGATCTGCTTACTCATCCTGTAAGACCCAGGTTCCTTAAATACCACCTCCTCCCTGCAGCTTTCCATAACTCACTTTCTCTCACCACAAAACTATAAGGTTAATTGGTCTCTTGTAATTTCACAGCTGTTTTTTTAATAAAATATGTATTACTTGTTAATTGTTCTTAACAATATATTTTACTAATATATTTTGTTATAAAATATTTTATCTTTTATTAATATTATTCAGAAATTTGGGGAACTATTACTTTTAAAAATAAATGTAAGCTTTGATTTCACCCATGTTTGAAATAGAGCTCTCAGAAAACACCTCCTGTATCTTCAGGGTCATAGTGAACTGGGAGAAAGAAAATCGAACTGGGGAGTAGGAAGCCTGGGGTCAAATCCTGGCTCTGACCTAACTAGCTGTGTAATCTGAGGCAAGTCACTAACCCTCTCAGGTTTCTCATTTATCACGTGGGGATTTAGGTCTGGCAATTTCTGAGTTCTTCTAGGACCTATGTCTAAGCAAGGAGCCAATGCAAGAATGATGGGCAACACAGGTGAAATTGGAGAATCAGAACACCCCTCTCTTTGTAATGAAGCTTCAGGAAACTAAACCTAAATGTCTACTTATTCTCCCCCAACTCATACCAAACTAGAAAACTCCAAGAGCTGTTGCCTCAGTCAAGCCACCAGAGCCACTAGATTCTTACAGCCAAATCAAGATTTACCACTCAGTAGCAATCTACCTAGGGCTGGGCTCTCAGATTTGCTGTCTTTATGATTAACTTGCAAATACTAGAATTATTGGGGGCATTTAAAGGTACTAAAAAACTTGAATGCTACGAAAGTCAAATATCCTTAGCCTTCCGCATCTATTGATCTGGATGTCTCCTGACATGTTGAGGGCTCAGCTCAAATGTCATCTTTTCAGAAGGGCTTTCCCTGATGTGCACCAGCCCCAGTCAGTCTTCTTCACACTACCTTGTTTAGTATTCTTTGTAACACTTATCATTATCTGAAATTATCTTTCCTGTTTGTTTCCTTGTTTATCGTGCCATAGACACACTACAAAAAGCTCCAGCAGGGCAGAACTATGCCTATCTTATTCACCAAGTTTTCCCTAGCACCTAGAACGATGACTGGTACATAGTAAACACATAAAAAATATTTGATGAAGGAACGAACAAATGAGGTCAGCAACATAGTGGCAGGACCACTCCTACAGTATAATCAAGTTTTGCAGTGTAATTAAACCTCTCGCTATTCCCTTGGTTGCTCCTCAGCACTGGGTAGCTATTGAAGAAAATCTCCTTACTGCCCTGATCTTGCTCTTGTCTGTACTAATAAAACTATATTCTCATATATTCCAGTAAACACCCTTTCTTCCTTTGGCATTCTCTTTATACTATGCCATGTCTTTATTAGGAATCATTAAGGGTGAGTAGCTTATAACATGTACCCTTCACTGGGAAGTCTAGAATGCAGGAGCTGGGTCCCAGGGGTTCTGTGTATGCATAACAAAACCTTGAACTTCTGACTACATGAGCCACAGCAAAGTGGGACTTCCAAAAGTGGAGAGCTCCAGGGACCTCCAAGGCAGCTCCAGGGACCCCAATGACACCCAAGTTGGATCAATCAGATTCTTTCACCAAGAATTTTGAAAGGTAGAATGGAAAGACCTAGGAGCTGGCAGTCACCAATCTCTAGAAAATGTCACAAACACTTAGCACCAAATTGCCCATTTCAAGGTTTGATTATCCCATTCTTCCTTTAGCTTTGTGAAATAAGACAGAGTTCTCCCAGTTGACTACTATGGCTTATAATCAAATGAATCTTAATTGACCCTAGACGGGGTGTACTCCATTCCACTCTGCAGCACATGACTCTGTCACTGAATATTTTATCTGGAAGATATCAGGAACAGCATGGATACTTAATTGTAGCAAACATAAATTTACACATTGATCAAAGGTGGTTGTTCACCAGTAGGACGATGTCAATACGCTGTAAAGTACAGGAACTCAAGTGAAATCAGCAGCCTAGAAAGAGCCCAGGTTGCTGGAGGAAATGGCACAAAACCAAAATGACCAAATTTTATAGGAATACCTATTAAAACCCAAATTAATGTTATAATCATCTACATAATCAAATAAGAAGAGCTGGAAAGAGGTCAGGCGCAGTGGCTCAAGCCTGTAATCGCAGCACTTTGGAGCCCGAGGCAGGTCAATCATGTGAGGTCAGGAGTTTGAGACCAGCCTGGCCAACATGGTGAAACCCCGTCTCTACTAAAAATACAAAAATTGGCCAGGTGTAGTGGCGGGCACCTGTAATCCCAGCTACCTCGGGAAGCTAAGGCAGGAGAATCACTTGAACTCAGGAGGCGGAGGTTGCAGTGAGCCGAGATCATGCCATTGCACTCCAGCCTGGGCAACAAGAGCAAAACGCTGTCCCCAAAAAAAAAAAAGAAGAAGAAGAAGAACTGGAAAAATCTGCCTTCTTGGAAGTTCGAATGGATGAGACCTGAAGATTTTAGCTGGGCTTAATCTCAGGATAAGCCAACACTATATGAGCACAACACGATGAGCATTATTAAAATGATAGAACTCCCAGATCATGATAGGTAATGATTCTACAGTCTGTGTAGATTAAATATTATTTGAAGTATTGTGCCTGATTTGTTGTCATCCTACAAAGATGACACTGGCTAGGGATCATCCAGCGAGGCCTCTAAAGTGATGAGAAATGTGTAAACCATGTGACATGAGGTACCATTAACAGAACTTGGAGGTGTTTGGCCTAGAGAAGGAAAGGCTTCGGAGTCTAATTACTTCTTCACATATTTAAAGAACAAGCACATAAAAGAATGTGTTCACTGTAACTCTGGAGGACAGAAGCAGGATCCTGGAAGAAAATTACAGGGAAGCAGAATTGTTTTTAATAATTTCAACTTTTATTTTAGATTCATGGGGGAATGTGCAGGTTTGTTACCTGGGTATATTGCATGATGCTGAGGTTTGGGTTACAATTAATCCCATCACCCAGGTACTAAGCATAGTACCCAATAGTTTTTCAGGCCTTGCTCCCTCCCTTTTTCCTTCACTCTAGTAGTCCCCAGTGTCTATTGTTCCCATCTTCATGTCCATGAGTATCCACTGCTTAGCTCCCACTTATAAGTGATAACACACAGTATTTGGTTTTCTGCTCCTGTATTAATTCTCTTAGGATCATGGCCTCCAGCTGCATCCATGTTGTCACAAAAGATATGATTTTGTTCCTTTTTATGGCTGTGTAGTATTCCATTGTGTGTATGTACCACATTTTCTTTATCCACTCCACCATTGACGGGCACCTAGTTTGATTCCATGTCTTTGCTATTGTGAATAGTGCTGCAATGAACATACACATGCATGTGTCTTTTTGGTAGAACAATTTATTTCTTTTGAATATATACACAGTAATGAATGGGATTGCTGGGTGAAATGGTAGTTCTATCTTAAGTTCATTGAGAAATTGCTGAACTGCTTTCCATAGTAACTGAACTAATTACATTCCCATCAGTGGTGTATAAGCATGCCCTTTTCTCCATAGGGAGGCAGAACATAACCTAAAGAATAGCTTGCTTTCACAGTTCTCCAATAATGTAATAATGCACCTAACCAAGAAGTGGGTTGCCCTCCCTGGAGGTATCCTCCAACAGTCTAACTATTTAAGGAAAGTGTTTCTGTGTTAGATAACATACAGTCTCTTTCAGTACTAAGACATACTGCTTTTTTGCTCATGGTCCAGGTGACTTGAACAAATAACTTAATTTCTTTTGGGCTTTTCAGCCTCACCTATAAGAGAAGGCTAATTAGATAATTCGAGGTCTCTCGCATTGCAGAAATCTGTAACTTACAACAGAGAGGGAACAGAACATCTGGGGTGGAGAAAGGGTAGACTCAGAGAGCAAGAAAGAAGAGGGAGTGGGGAAAGGAATCTGCAATTTGACAAAAAAAAAAGGAGAGGCTGATCAAAGACCAGGGTAAATAGCAGTTTTCAAGAGGGAAGAAAAAGCATAAACAGAGTCATGTAGCAAGAGAGAAAAAAAAGGAATCATAAAGAAGAAACAGAAAGGTCAAAAGGGAATGGTGTTCTGCCTTTCCCCAGCCCTTGCTGGATCTATTTAATAGCTCCATCCCTGCCTTCTTTATTGTTCAGCTATTTTGATAAATTTCAACTGGCATTAATGTAAAGCATATGGATAATACCATAGTTTTAACTCCCAATTCAATTTTGTTACTAAAGGTGTCTTTTTTTCCAAACAAGAATTTCTCTGAGACTCATTGCATTTTCCCTTTACATTCATCACATATTAAAGGTTTCCAGAAGCCCCTAAATTTCCCATTTATGCTGATGTTCCCATTTGGTATGCTGAAGGTACTTCATTGCCATTCGTTATGAATGAGCTGCAACAGTATTGCAGCAGTGCTCAGCAAACAGCTCCTGACTTTCAGGTGTCGTTACATGCAAGTTAAACTAAATGGATGAATTTTTAGCAGGAATAATGTAGTTCATGTTGACATTATTCACAGCTTTCCCAAGAAGACAGGTATTAATCAGAAAACACTCACGTAGGTCTCAGTATATAAATATTTGGGTGTCTGGCTAAACAGTGCCCTAACCTTTAAAAGGCATATAGACCTTATGCTTTAAATAGGATCATCAGTATAAAGGGCAATTTAGGACAAATAAAAGGAAGAACTTCCTTGCACAGGAGTATGGGTGTATATGGAACCTATTATTTCAAAAGTTTGTACAGCATAAAAATAAAAATAAGCCCAAGAAGGATTTAGGTGGGTCAGTAATTACAAAGTTCTGTGAATTCTTCCTTCAAAATCACTCATCTATTTGCCTTTTCCATTCTATTTTCACCATCCTCACCTTGAACACTGTATATTTATTGAATCCTCCAAGAAAATATTTTTAAATGCAAGAAAAGTATATTTTCTGAAAATGTATAATCTCAAAAGTGGATGCAATATAAAACAAGAGATGAATAGAAAATGACATAGGCACATGCTAGTTGCTAAGGGAAGAGATAAACAATAATTGCTTCAAACCTTAAGAAGAAGGGACTATTTCTCAGGGCAGGAAGACTTCCTGAAGAAGGATAAACTTGATATGCCACACTGCATGGGATGAGCACAGATAAGCAGACAAGATGGAAACCCCGCAAGCCAAGACACGAAGGCAACCAAGAGTATGACCCAATTTGACTAAATCAGTTGTCTGGATGGAGAATGGAGTTCAAGTGAGGAAACTTCACATAGAAGAGCAGGAGAATGAGATCTTTAGGAACAGGATATTAGAAGTCTTTGATAAGCAGGCTAAAGAATTGAGACTATTCTGTAATGGTGAGGAGCCATCAAAAATGTCTGAGCAGGAGGTTCTGCCAAGGAGCAATAAGGACCCAAGTTGAGAGCAACAATGTGGAAAGAAACGAAGAAATTTATAGGACAGTCTGCTCTTCCCTTCTAATGCACACTTCTGCTGGATTAATCCTCCTTTATCAACTTACTAATCTTCCACTCAAAAGACCTCATTGCATACCATACACAGTCCAAACTCCTCTTCTTAGTATCCACTATACATTGCCATCTTGCACAGATCTATTTATAAAGTCAGTTGCCACTTACGACATGACCCTTCCACTGCATTCAACCAATCAGTTGACTATATCCAGCATACATATAGTTTATTATTAACAAGGTCACCCACTGTGCCCTGCGCTGTGCTACATGTGAAAATGAAAGAATGATAAAATAGAGACTATTCTTGAAGACCCAAATCTAATGGAATCCCTCTTCTACTGCTTTTTGCCTGAACACTATTCATTCATCTAGAAGCAGATCCACATCTTCCCCAGGGCCACTGATGATCACACTTACCTACACTGCCCTCACTTACTCTGAAATCATCTGTACCTATAATCTTTTCCATTTATTTTATAATTTTATATTTATAATAATGTATAATTGTATTTTATTAATCATTTCTGATTTTAACATATCAAAAAATTATCACTTTTTAAAAACAGATTCAACACCTAAGATTGGTTTTTGTTCACATTCCCTGCAATTTGCACATGCTGTCATCAGGATGCAATAGTGTGCCAGGGGTACAACAGCAACCAGACTTTAAAAGCATAAATTTCTATTTTTATAAGTTTTAGATTAGCCCTAATGTTATAAACAAGTATAATTAAAACGCAATTTTCTTTTTGAGATGCAGTCCCACTCTGTCACCCAGGCTGTAGTGCAGTGGCATGCTCTCGGCTCACTGCAACCTCCACCTCCCAGGTTCAAGTGATCCTCCCACTTCAGCCTCCCATGTAGCTGGGATTACAAGTGTGTGCCATCACGCCCGGCTAATTTTTGTATTTTTAGTAGAGACAAGGTTTCACCATGTTGGCCAGGCTGGTCTCAAACTCCTGACCTCAAGTGATCCGCCCACCTTGGCCTCTCAAAGTGCTGGGATAACAGGCGCGAGCAACTGCACCTGGCAAAACACAAATTATTATAACTTCCCTGAATCATAATTTGGGAATAAGCTTCTATGAACAATTTACCCTTCAGTTTTGGCTTTAGAAGTGAAACTTTAATAACAATTTTTCTCAACAAATTCCACTTACTTTTCATAAAGCCAAGGCTCCTACTAGTCAAGCCAGGCTCCTTGACAGTCCCTTGCTCATTTGCTAGGTATCTTTTCACATACACATATTTTAGTATTCTCATATTAAAGAATAATCTTTAGTCCCTTCAAGTCCCTAACAAAGAACAGAACATGAGGTGAGCAATAAATATCTTTTGATTATATGATTGATTTTTATGTATGTGTATTAGTTTCATTTCAGGTTATTAAAAGAACATATGGAAATATTCCTACATACTAAGGGGATATCACCAGAGTACCTCAGAATCTCACTTCAGAGACAAAATACAGGGCTAGCTTAACCAGTTATTTGGGCCAATGAAGAATTTTTATTCTCTTATTTTGCAGTGACAAAGAAAGAGATAGGAGCTTATGAGAAAGAACTGAACAGGTGGGAATACTTGGAGCAGAGCCCTTGTGATGAGCGCCTCCCACATCAAGCCTGAGGAGAACAGACACCAGAGTCCTGCTCATCAGTGGCTCTTAACAGACTCATGAATATCAAGCCCACCTAGAAAATTACTTGGTTCTCTTTCACATGTATATGCTACACTTTACAAGATATTAAACTGGAACTATGCCCTCACCTTCAACTGACAGCCCAAGACAATAGGCACCAACTAATCTCGCTTTCCTCAGTGGAGTCTTAGACCACATAAGCACGTCTAGCAGAGGTGGGTGAGGAATGGGGGAGTCACCTCAAGCTCAGTGAATGAGGCCTGGTATAGAGTTCACCATTTGAGTGGAGAGGTCTACATTTTAACATAAAGAAAGGCAGAGAATGGTACCATCTTAGAGACTTTGCCTAAGAGGGCTTTTAGAAGAGTGGTAGAATTCTAACCAAAGGGTAACAGTGGAGTCATAAAGGGTCAGCCAGAGGAGTTGCATTTGCCTGTGTCATTGCAGCTGCCAGGTCATAGATCCCCAGTACTAGAAAGTCTCTAAAGGGCCGGTGAATGCACCCACAAGAAAGCCATCTTTAAGCATGTGCAAATATCTACAACCATTTTGATGGCAGCAGAGTTAAACATGCCCTCTCTTCCTCTGCTCTAACTCTAGAAGGGTCAGAAGTTGAGGCTAACTAATGCATGGATGGGATGGGATGGAGGTAGGAGGTAGAAGACTTGACAGAGGAAAGAAAATAAATGTACCATGCCCTTCTTCTGATGGAAATCCAAGCAAAGCAAGGAAGTAACTTCAGTGTTGAATGCAATTCAGAGTTTTGATTATTACACTTGACTGGAGGTATTAACAATGGAACTGCAACTGTTTTAAGGGACTAAAGAGATCCCCTGCTTTTCACTGTGTAAGAGCGAGCACATAAACAATGAGGCTTGCCTGAAATTTCATCTAATATAAGGAGAAAAAATGATCCCCATTGAGTGACTTTACAGGGGCAGTTATTTAAAAATATAAGTTGCGTTGTAAGTGTTCCTGACGTGTCTCTTTTAAGCATATAACAGCACAGGAACGAGGGCTAAAAACAATAGCATATTACTATGAGTTCAAATTCTTAATAGCGGCGAAGAGTTGCAGCAGAAGAAGGAAAAACTAAAAGAAGACAGCTTATCTCCTACCTACTGAAACGGGAAAGGCTCCCCTGTCATCCCGCAGGGCGTGCGAGAGTGGACGAGGGAACCTTTCCTGTTTCAACCGGGGCCTCGCCCCGGCATCCTGGAAGGTGAGTGTGAATGAATGTGAATCTGTTGGGTCCACCTCCCTTCCAAAACCCTGCCACTTCTCTCTCTTTCCTGTGGTTAACAGGCTCTGTTTCCCTTCAAAACTCTGCCCTAACTGGTCCGGGCGCGGTGGCTCACGCCTGTAATCCCAGCACTTTGGGGGGCCAAGGCGGGCGGATCACGAGGTCAGGAGATCGAGACCATCCTGGCTAACACGGTGAAACCCCGTCTCTACTAAAAATACAAAAAATTAGGCGGGCGTGGTGGCGGGCGCCTGTAGTCCCAGCTACTCGGGAGGCTGAGGCAGGAGAATGGCATGAACCCGGGAGGCGGAGCTTGCAGTGAGCCGAGATCGCGCCACTGCACTCCAGCCTGGGCGACAGAGCGAGACTCCATCTCAAAAAAATAAATAAAATAAAATAAAATAAAAATTCTGCCCTAACTGGCAAGTCAAAACCCCCAGACTTTGTCTCTTTTCTTTCACATGGTTTTAAATGGCTCTTATCTCTTTCTTTACAATGTTTTGCTACAGGGTACAGCAATGTTACTAAGTAAAGTGAGCACTTGGCTCAGCTGCCAAAGGTGCAAATCAGACCAACTGTTCCTAGAAGTGCCATGTATGCCACTACCGTGACAGCTGCAGGAACGCATGGCTTAGGACACCTCTCCTTATCCTTTCCCACAGGTGCCTAGCCGTGCCCACAGCAGGCAAAGGCCGAGCCCAACAGCTATGAGCGGGGCGGGAGAAAGCGGAGATGGTAGCCATGACCCTACAGGGTGCTTCTAGCCTGCCAAGCCGATGGAACCTTTTCTCTCCTGGCCATGGAATTCAACCCGGTTTGGGGAAAAGATATAGAGATTAGGGGCACCCACTTGCACTAAGCAAGGTTTTCTTCCCCCAGAATCTTCCCCTCTTTCCCTTTAAACTGTTTTTCTCTTTTTTCCTTTTCTAAGTGAAAGGGCCCCCCACCCCGCAACACCCAACTGTGTTTCTGATAGGGAACTTAACAGAGGAATGACGCCTGCTGGCTGAGAACTTTGACGGGACACATTTGAGACACTCCAAACAGATACAAACAGCCTCTAAAATGCCTTTTCAATACCTAACTCTATTCCAAGCTTCAGGCAGAGGCCCTAGAAAGAAAAACCAGGTCTTAGTGGGTCCAAAGCCAGGCAACAGGCACAATGTAAACGGGCATGACCAATTCCTGCCAACTGAACCCTCCACCCCAAAGAAGGAGGCCATGCTTCATGGCATAAACAGGCCCAGAAAACTCAAAGTTTGCCAACAGCAGGAAGAAATGGAGGCACAGGTGAGGGTGGTTAATTCCTATTCTCCAGAGTTTCACTGCTTCATGGGTACATAGTGCAGTGGAAAAAGAGGAACTTTTCTGTAGACCTGAGGACAGATGGTCTGAGACCCCATATGTGCAGGCTTTCTATAACTTGCAAGGCAATCCAGACCTTTGCCGACAGTGTAGGATTGATCCAGCCCTCCTGTTTGCTATCTCAGGTAGGCTGCAAGGGGCAAGCCCCGGGAAGTAAAGATAGGAGTCCCAGAAGCACCCCCAGCAGAGGAGCCAGCTCTCTCCAGCCCTGCCCCTCCAGGTTCACCCCTACCAGTCTATAGTGTTCCAGCCTCTCACTTACCCCCTCCTAAAAATCCTTGCCCTAAACAAGCCCAGTCTCTCTCTTGCCCCCACCTCAACAGATGCCCAGTGAATTTGGGCCCAGTAGGGTTCAAATTCCCTTCTCCCTATAGAACTTAGGGCAAATTAAGGGAGATCTTGGCAAGTTTTCAGATGACCCTGATAGATATATAGAGGCTTTCCATGATTTCACTCAAATATTTGAACTCTCCTGGAGAGATGTAATGTTACTTTTGAATCAGACCCTAACAGACAATGAGAAGCAGGCTGCTCTGCAAGTAGCAGAGAGATTTGGGGATGAGCTTTGTTTCACATATAGTGTCAGGGAAGGGGGCAAACATTATCCAGCTGGAAGAGAAGCAGTACCAATGAATGACCCTAAATGGGATCCCAATGATGAGGTGGAAGTCTCAGGTGTGCATAATGGAAGGCTTATGGGACCAAGCCTCTCAATTATACTAAGTTGTCCATGATCGACCAGGGATTTGATAAAAATTCCACTGCCTTCCTGGAAAGGCTAAGGGAGGACTTGGTAAGTCTCTATCTCCTGATTCAGTCGAGGGACAGCTAATCCTAAAGGGCAAATATATTACTCAGGCAGCTCCTGACATCAGGAGGAAGTTGCAGAAACGAGCCCTGGGACCAGAAAGTACGTCAGAGGACCTCCTGAAAGTGGCCACCTCTGTCTTTTGTAATAGAGACAGGCAGGCCCGGGAAACAGAGAGAAGATACAGGTATTCCCAGGGTGCACCTGTTAACCGCTGAAGATATGGCAAGAACTGTTATCTCTCTTCTACAACTTTATCTGCTCCCATGCAAGGTTTAATTTCTTTCACCAGAGTGAAACAGCTCAGGGTACAATGTTGTTATTAGTATACTTTACTTCTTGTCTCTGTAATCTTTGGCACTAAATCCTTTCTGTGTATAATACACATGTTTAACCCATGCATACTTAACCTTATAAAACTTGTTTTTTTCTCTCACACCTAGAAACCATTAAACTCCAAACAGGCAACCAGAGCCTCAGATGATGGCTTACCTTTGCTAGGAATACTTAGATAGACCTTTGGGAGGAGTCTGACTGCTGTTTTCCTCCAAAACAATGACCCCTGTCAGCAAGATGCAGCTAAGACCTGTCATCGTCCATACTCTAAAGGCAGTTAGATGTACTTCTTCAGAAGGGGAAAATGATACGGAAGTGCTGGGAAAGGAAGAACGGTCCCTTTAAATGATACGGAAGTGGGGAAGGGAAGTGCTGGGGAGAGGAAAGGTGTGGTCCCTGGCTAGGGCTCCACCCTCAGGGAAATAGGTGAGGTCAGGCACTCCTGCCTTCATGCCCAAATGTTGCATTTCCCAAGACCGCCCTGGCCTGCCATGTCCCCATCCTGTGCCTCTAAAAACCCGAGACCCTAGCAGGGCAGAGACAGAAGCAGCTGGACGTCGAAAGGAGCACATCAGCGGAGGAACACACAGGTGGCTGGACGTGGAAAGGAAAGCACCAGCACCGGCATGCCAACAGGCCACTGACCGGCAGAACCACATGGAGTTTGGCTGGGGCAGTTGGAGGAAAGCCTGGCTGCCAGGTGGCCCGACTCCACTGGAAAACCGTCTCCCTTCTGCCTCCCCCATCTGCTGAGAGCTACTTCCACTCATAAAACCTTGCATTCATTCTCCAAGCCCACATGTGATCCGATTCTTCCGGTACACCAAAGCAAGAAACTCCAGGATACAGAAAACCCTCTATCCTTTAGACAGGGTAGAGGGTCTAATTGAGCTGACTAACACAAGCCGCCTATAGAAAAAGAAAGGCAAACTGAAAGAGCACCCGGTAACACATGCCCACTGGGGCTTCAGGAGCTGTAAACGTTCACCCCTAGACATTGCTGTGGGGTGGGAGTCCCACAGCCTGCCCATCTGTATCCTCCCCTAGAGGTCTGAGCAGCAGGGCACTGAAGAAGCGAGCCACACCCCCATCACATGCCCTGCGAGGGGGACAAAGGAATCTTTCTCATTTCACTACCTCTCTATTTTTGTGTACAAAGATCAGACTAAATGCATACATGCTAGCACTTAAGCAAAGAATGCACCGTGCACTAGCCTCACTCTGCTTCATACAGGATGCAAAAACTGACCGCTAAAAGAAATAAACTTCCAAAATCCCAAAAGAAAGCCATTCACAAAATGTTCATGTATGTAGTCTCGTTAATAAGTTAAATACCCAGTAATACATGGAAACAACATAACACAAAGAAATAGAAAAATGTACCTAACACTAGAGGCTTCAACAAAAGAATTTCTTGGGCAGCAAAAGAATGCAGGGGTGGATAAAAACAGAGTGTCAACCATGGGCAAGATTTGGGATTCAAATCCATGGTATGTGTCTGTCAAGGAAACAGGAGCTATTTGAATTATGGTGCTATAATTCCGTCAAGGGATGCTGAGGACTGCATAAACCACTTGAGCCTTCAGAAATTACTACCCCATAGTTCAGTCACTTGTGATTTGTTCTATGAGTAATTTATTGGCCACCTTTGCACAGTATGTTGTGTCAAACCTGAAACAGATATTTCTTTGGAATCTGATTTGTCTTTTACCTGAGAATCTGTCCATTTCTGTAACAAATCTTTATTGAGCATTTATTACATGTACCAAGCTGTGAGGGGAAGTGGATTGTGCAGTTACCTTTGGACCTCCAGCTACTTCAGGCTTTAGGCCCATAAAGCTATTGACACCAGAAAACAGACATTCTATAGCCAGCTAGAGAGTCCTGCCTGCAGAGTAAATACCCATCAACAAAAAAATTAAACAAATGTTCAATGAGGACACAACCACAAACGTTTTGGAGTGGGGGTTCTCAGAGTGCTCTATCCTTAAACGTCTATCTAAGCAGTTTTCTAGGACTCCACCCATAGGGAAAAGCTGCTGCACAGTGACTTTGGGAAGCTGCTGTTAAGGAAAAAAAGGGTGACTTAGCTGATACTAAGACATATACTGCGTACACCCAGTCAGCCCACACCACCTGCCTCCAAGCAGCTAACATGATGCTACTGAGCAAAACCCTGTCCCTCCCTTTCACTGATGCATTCCATGTTCTCTCTGACCTTTTCAAGACACCTCTTTGCCTCCTTTATCCCTTCCATGTTAATGTTATTTACCTGTATAAGATGCTGATGGTGGATAGAGAGTCCTTGACAGTGTGAGTCGTCTCAGGAGGATGAAGATAAACAGAATCTTAAACTTAGAATTCAGGTCATGTGGTCTGTGGACAACTATTTCTTAGACTTCCAGCTTTCTGAAAGTCTTTTTAACCAATAAAAGACATGTTTCTTCCTTTCTATGCTAACAAGAGGGCACATCTGAAGGTGTTATGATTTAGAAAAATAAGTTAACCTTCAGGCCGGGTACAGTGGCTCACGCCTATAATCCCAGCACTTTGGGAGGCCGAGGCAGGTGGATCACAAGGTCAAGAGATCGAGACCATCCTGGCCAAAATGGTGACACCCCGTCTCTACTAAAAGTACAAAAATTAGCTGGGTGTGGTGGCGCAAGCCCGTAATCCCAGCTACTCGGGAGGCTGAGGCAGGAGAATCGCCTGAACAAGGGAGTCGGAGATTGCAGTGAGCTGAGATCGTGCCACTGCACTCCAGCCTGGTGACAGAGCGAGATTCTGTCTTGAAAATAAATAAATAAATAAATAAAATAAGTTAACCTTCAGTACTACAAGGGCAAGGAGAACAACAGAGAGAGGCACAGAGCCTGGAAGTTCACTTCCAAGAGACCTCCCTGTGCTTCTGGAAGGCCTGCGGTGGAAAGACTCTCTTTACTATAGAGTCCAAATTATCTTATTATGAGCATCTATTTTGGGAAGTTTTCTTGGAGACAGTCCTGCTCTGTTACTAGGCTGGAGTGCAGCGGTGTGATCACAGCTCACTGCAGCCTCCATCTCCCAGGCTCAAGTGGTCCTCCCACCTCAGTCTCCTGAGTAGCTGGGACTATAAGCGTGAGCCACCACACCTGGCTAAATTTTTGTAGACACGAGGTCTGCCTCTGTTGCCCAGGCTGGTATCAAACTCTTGGACTCAAGCGATTCTCCTGCCTCAGGCTCCCAAAGTGCTGGGATTATAGGCATGAGCCACCAGGCCCAGCCAGCATCTACCTTTTTTCAGAGTTTTGTGTGCTCATGCCTTACCTTCCATTGAAGGCAGGATCAATGCCTGGTTTATCTTTATATCCACCACTGTATTAGTCAGGGTTCTCTAGAGAAACAGAATAAGAGAGAGATTTATTCTGAAGAACTGGCTCATACAATTTTGGGGGCTAAGTCCCTCGCTGTCTGCAGGCTAGAGACACAGGAGAACCAGGGGAGCTAATGATGTAAATCCTACCCCAAGGTTGGGAGAAGATGAGATGATATGTCCCAGCTCAAGCAGTGAGGCGGGACAAAACAGAATGAATTCCTCCTTTCTCCACTTTTCATTCTATGCAGTGCTCAAAAGATCCGATGATGCCCAACCACATTAGGGAGGGCAATCTACTTTACTGAGTTTACCAATTCAAAAGTCAGTCTCATGTAGAAATATCCTCACAGGTGCACCAGAAACAATGTTTAATCCCAGCACCCTATGGCCCACTCAAGTTCACACACAAAATTAACCATCATAACTATAATTAGCAATAATATATAGCTTCAAATAGCTAGAAGGAAAAAAATAATAAATGTTTGAGATAATGAATATGCTAATTACCCTAAGCTGATCACTATGTGTACATATCACAATATCACTATCTATTGCATAAATATGTGCAATTATTATGTGTTCATCAAAACTGTTTTGAAATTTCAAAACATTAAAAAAATTTAAACAATAAATAAATAAAAATAAAATTAACCATTATAAAATTAAAATGATGGTTAATAAAATTAACTGTCATTAATCCACTATATCAAAGAAATGAAAGAGAACCTTCTCGTGATCCTCTCTCCTTGGTGAAACTATAGCGAAATAAAGGTGCTCAGCAGAGAACACAGAAAAAATTAACCACAATCAACTATTTGTTATGTATGTAAAGGAAACAGACAAAGATGTCTGTCGCAGTCTGTTCAGGCTGCTGTTACAAAATACCACAGACTGGATAATTTATAATATAGTAGAAATTGCTGATACCTTGGGCTTGGACTTCCCAGCCTCCAGAACTGTAAGAAACAGCGTCTGGTGAAGGCTCACTCTCTATGTCAAAATGGCATCCTCACATGGTAAATGGGCACAAAAGGCGTTCTGGATCTCACTAGACCCTCTTTCATAAGGACACGAGTCCCATTCATGAGCACCCTGCCCCCCTAAAGGCCCCACCTCAATACTATCACATTGGAGATTAGTTTTCAACATATGAATTTTGGAGGGACACATACAGTCAAACCACAGCAATGTAAAATTTTTTTTTAAACAGCATCCATCCCTTGGTGGTGGATTGCCATATGAAACAACGTGACCAAAAACAATACATAGTTTGGTAGCTCCGGAATTTGGTGTGTGAGTATGGAAAGGGCAGTAGTGGGAAATGTGAACAGTAAGGGAGGCAGGTTCCAGGGCATGAAGATTCTTGTATGCCTGAACTTTATCTTGAAATCTACAGAAGCAGCATGAAGGTTTTTGCTTTTTGAATAGCTTGGCAGCAAGGTACAGAATGAGAGAGAACCCAGATAAGAAACAGCTCCTGGCCGAGTGCATTGGCTCACGCCTGTAATCCCAGCACTTTGGGAGGCCAAGGTAGGTGGATCACTTGAGGTCAGGAGTTGAAGACCAGCCTGGTTAACATGGTGAAACCCATCTCTACCAAAAATACAAAAAATTAGCAGAGCGTGGTGGCACATGCCTGTAATCCCAGCTATTTGGGAGGCTGAGGCATGAGAATTGCTTGAATCCAGGAGGCAGAGGTTGCAATGAGCTCATGCTACTGCACTTCAGCCTGGGTGGCAGATTAAGACTCTGTCTCAAAAAAAAAAAAAAAAAGAAGGAGAAGAAGAAGAAACAGCAGCTCCAGAAATTCACATTGAGCTGAAGAGGAGAGGAATTAAAACCGTCTTCAAAAAAGAACAAGATCATGTCCTTTTCAGCAACATGGATGGAAGATAGCCAAAGTGAACTAACACAGAAACAGACAACAAAATGCCACATGTTCTCACTTATAAGTGGATGCGAAGCATTGAGTACATATGGACACAAAGAAGGGAACAACAGACACCAGGGCCTACTTGGGGGTGGAGGTTTAGAGGGTGAGGATCGAAAAACAACCTATCAGGTACCATACTTATTATCTGGGTGATGACACAATCTGTACACAAAACCCCTGCGACATGCAATTTACCTATACAACAAACCTGCACATGTACCCCGATTCTAAATAAAATTTAAAAAAAGACTATTTTCAAAAAGTAGAATCTACAGGATTAGGTAACTCAAAATTTTCAAAGGGAAGGTAAGAGCCTTTTAGATGACTCCAAGGGTTTTGCTTAGACATTGGGTGGATTAGAAACATCAGGAAACAACAGACTAGGGGAAAGTGATTATAAGTTCACTTCTGAATATGTTGAGACATCAGAGGCAGTGTCCATAGATGTGTTTATATATGGGTCTGGAGATGGGGAACAAGATCTGGGGTTAGAGATGTAGAAGTGTGTATCACCTGCTTGTAGATGGTGGAAAGCAATATGTAAGGTGAGCTTCTCAAGGCAGTGGCAGTTGAAGCCCTAAGAATCATGCCATTTAAGGGTGTTTTCTCCTTTATTTTTTCCGTAATATCCCCAGGACCCGTCTAAGAAGTCAGGATGAATGAATTGTGTGGAACCAATGGTTATAACCACCAGAATTAAGGTGAACTGGCTGGGGGCGGTAGCTCACACATGTAATTGCAGCACTTTGGGAGGCCAAGGCAGGCAGATCACCTGGGGTAGTTTGAAACCAGCCTGTCCAACATGGTGAAACCCCGTCTCTAATAAAAATACAAAAATTAGCTGGGCATGGTGGCACATGGCTGTAATTCTAGCTACTTGGGAGGCTGAGGCAGGAGAATCACTTGAACCAGGGAGGTGGAGGTTGCAGTGAGCCAAGATAGGGCCACTGAACTCTGGCCTGGGTGACAGAGTGAGACTCCATCTCAAAAAAATAATAATAATAAAAATTAAAGTGAACTGACCACATATATTTCACAAATCAGACAGGCCCTCTAACAGAGAATCAAGGAGTGTCTGAACATAGATCAAGGGCATGATGATGTGTCCGGAGTTGGTTCCTTCCAGTGCGTTCTTGGACTCGCTGACTTCAAGAATGAAGCTGCAAACCCTCGTGGTGAGTGTTACAGTTCTTAAAGATGGTGTGTCCGACTGGGTATATACCCAAAGGATTATAAATCATGCTGCTATAAAGACACATGCACACGTATGTTTATTGCGGCACTATTCACAATAGCAAAGACTTGGAACCAAGCCAGATGTCCAACAACGATAGACTGGATTAAGAAAATGTGGCACATATACACCATGGAATACTATGCAGCCATAAAAAATGATGAGTTCATGTCCTTTGTAGGGACATGGATGAAGCCGGAAACCATAATTCTCAGCAAACTATCACAAGGACAAAAAACCAAACACTGCATGTTCTCACTCATAGGTGGGAATTGAACAATGAGAACACATGGACACAGGAAGGGGAACATCACACTCCGGGGACTGTTGTGGAGTGGGGGGAGGGGGGAGGGATAGCATTAGGAGATATACCTAATGCTAAATGACGAGTTAATGGGTGCAGCACACCAACATGGCACATGTATACATATGTAAGAAACCTGCACATTGTGCACATCCACCCTAAAACTTAAAGTATAATAATAATAAAATTAAATTAAATTAAATTAAATTAAATTAAAAAAGATGGTGTGTCCGGA
Source organism: Homo sapiens (assembly GCF_000001405.40). Classification (NCBI taxonomy): domain Eukaryota; kingdom Metazoa; phylum Chordata; class Mammalia; order Primates; family Hominidae; genus Homo; species Homo sapiens. The sequence goes on from NC_000006.12 coordinate 99,261,519, forward strand.
GTTTGTTCCTTCAGATGTTCAGATGTGTCCGGAGTTTCTTCCTTCTGGTGGGTTCGTGGTCTTGCTGACTTCAGGAGTGAAGCTGCAGACCTTCGCAGTGAGTGTTACAGTTCTTAAAGTTTGTGCAGACCCAAAGAGTGAGCAGCAGCAAGATTTACGGCGAAGAGCGAAAGAACAAAGCTTCCACAGCGTGGAAGGGGACCCAAGCAGGTTGCCGCTGCTGGCTCAGGTGGCCAGCTTTTATTCCCTTATTTGGCCCCACCCACATCCTGCTGATTTATCCATTTTACAGAGCACTGATTCGTCCATTTTACAGAGTGCTGATTGGTCCATTTTTACAGAGTGCTGATTGGTACATTTACAAACTTTTAGCTAGACACAGAGCACTGACTGGTGTGTTTACAATCCTTTAGCTAGACAGAAAATTTCCCCAAGTCCCCACCTGACCCAGAAGCCCAGTCGGCTTCACCTCTCCATCTCCCCTCTAAACAGGACACCCCAACTGCTGTTGGGAATTACCCGATGACCACTCTAGCTACTTCCTGCTGGACAGGGGCAAAGAAGGGGCCCTGCAGTGATAGTGTCCTCCAGAGGGGAACTCTTTAGGCCGTGAAAGGGCCAGCAGGTCAGTCCAGGGGTCCTCTATAGAAGTTGTTAGTCGAGCTCATTTGGGATTCCATTCGTAAGACCATCTGTAGCTTGATGGCCTCAATCCTAGAGGAAACACATTTGACAAGGAGGTTAAAAATATAGGGCCCGAAGGTAAGTAATAGCAAGATGGCTGCCACAGGACCTAGAAAGGGAAGAAGCCATGTTGCCCAACTCCGGAGGTTGGTATAAGAGTTTGAAAGGCGTTGTCTGATTTCAGAAGCCTTTTCCTGTAAATGCCAGGCAGCATCTCGTACTATCCCTGACTGGTTAATGTAGAAACAACACTCCTCCTCTAAGAAGGTGCAGAGTCCTCCTTTCTCAGCAGTGAGGAGGTCTAGACCTTGGTGGTTTTGGAGAGTCACTGCTGCCAAAGAGTCTATTTGGGATTATAGTTACTATCCTTACTGGATAGATTTCGTTATTTCTTGCAAACTGTCTGAGAAATCCTTTCAGAGTGTGTGGTAGTAGGATAATGCATGTTACACTATTAACTTTTAGCAAACTTTACTTTAGTTGAAAACCTTGTAAGTTTGGGATTTCAATTTTTCTTTGCTATTAATAAAACCTCGTTCAGTCCATATTAACTTAGAAATGGTATAGATGGCTCCTTCCTGATTCTGTAAGTACTTTAAGATTTGGCTGAGTGCAAACAACTCGCAGGCATGTTTGAGCAGACCAATTATTAGGCAATTTTCCTAACTGCTTCTACAAGAGTTCCTTATCACTTACTGAATACCCGTTGTGTCTTTTTTTTTTTTTCCTTAATTGCCTGGGAGGAACCATCTAATGTCCTGTCCTGAAGGGATTTCCTCCTAGATCTGGTTGGACCTTTGTATGGTAATTAATTAAGATTTAGATCCCTGTTAGGAAACCTGCTAGGTTAAGGATTTTTGACAGAAAGGCTATGGGTTGTCAGTGGCCTCAGTGCTTTCAGGCTATGCCCTTGTTTGCACTGACAACAAGGTGGTATTGGAGTGTTATAGGGTCACGGAGAAGACCTTCAATTATCAATTATAGGTTTTAAATTTACCCTGGCTTTTAAAGGAATAGGGTACACTGTTTTTTCTTTACTACTTCCATCTCTCTTTCTTTCTCTCTGACTTCTTTGTCTCTCTCTTTCTGACTCCTTCTTTGTCTGTTCCTCTCTCTCCTTGACTTTCTGTCTCTCTGTCTCTCTCTCTCTGACTCCCTCTTTGTCTGCCTCTTCCTCTCTCTCTCTGACGTTCTGTCTCTTTCTTTCTGCTGGTCTTTCCCTGCCTCTGCTAGCCACTTATGCTGGTGTTCTCCCCTCTCCTTCCCCTTTTTGATGGGTTCCACAGTGTAAGACAGTCACCTCCTTGGGTTTTTGCACTGCATGCAATAACTCCATAATTTCCTTGTGGTATTTAATGGGGGTTCACCCAGAGGTTAGGAACTCCCTTTCTTTCCATATTGCAGCATGGGCATGTAGGATTAGATAAGCATACTTGCTATCTGTGTACACATTTATTCTTTTTCCCTTTCCCAGTTCTAAGGCTCGGGTAAGTGCCACTAGTTCTGCTAACTGGGCACTGGTCCCTGGGGGAGGAGGCTTACTTCCAAGTATGGTTACATCAACTATGGCATAACCTGCCCTTCATATCCCATTTTCCACAAATGAACTTCCATCGGTATATAGGTTAAGGTCAGGATTAGCTAAGGGGACTTCTAAGAGATGATCTCAGGCGGCATAAGTCTGGACTACAACCTGTTGGCAGCCATGCTCGACTGGCTCCCCATCCTCTGGGAGAAAAACAGCAAGGCTGATGGCTGCACATGTATGCACTTGAAGCACCGGTCCCTCAAGTAGTAGCATCTCGTATCTAAGCAGGTGGTTGCCTGATATCCATAAACTTCCTTTGGCACCTAGTATGCCATTTACATCATGAGTAGTCCAGACAGTGAGGTCCTTTCCTTGTATTATTTTGATAGCCTCTGACACTAAGATGGCCACCACCGCAACTACCCATAAACAGTGAGGCCAGCCTTTTGCTACTACATCAATTTCCTTATTTAGGTATGCTACTGGTTGTGGGGTTGTCCCACGAGTCTGGGTAAGGACTCCAAGAGCTATCCCTGCTTTCTGGAAGGCTTAAAGCTGGAGCTTTTACTAGGGTCTGCTTTAAGGTTTTGAAGGCTGTTTCTGCCCCTGGTTCCCATTCTACTAGATGAGTATTTGCCCTCTTGGTCTCCTTGATTAGAGTATAGAGGGGCCTGGCTATCTCGCTGTATCTGGGGATCCATAGTTGGCAAAAGCCAGTGATTCCAAGGAACCCCTGAAACTGTTTTAATGTCTTAGGGTGAGGATAAGCCAGTATAGGCTGTATTTATTCCTTGCTGAGGGCCCTGGTTCCTCTGGCTAAGATTAGGCCTAGATATCTGACCCGCTGTAGGCAAAGCTGGGCCTTCAACCTAGATGTCTTGTACCCTTGATTAGCTAGAAAGTTCAAGAGATCTAGAGTAGCCTGCTGGCATGAGGCTTCTGAACTGGTAGCCAAAAGTAAATCATCCACATACTGAAGGACCAGAGTGCCTGGACTTGAGAAGTGGCCTAGATCTTGGGCCAGTGCCTGACCAAACAGAGGAGGGCTATCCCTAAACCCATGAGGCAAGACGGTCCACGTAAGTTGGGATGTGTGGTCTGTGGGATCCTCAAAGGCAAAGAGAAACTGGGAGTCAGAGTGCAGGGGAATACAGAAGAAGGCATCCTTGAGGTCCAGAACACTGAACCATTCTGCTTCCTCTGGTATTTGAGAAAGCAGGGTATAGGGGTTGGGTACAACTGGATATAGAGGAATTACTGCCTCATTGATGAGTCCAAGATCTTGCACTAGTTTCCACTGACCATTCTGTTTTTATACTCCTGGAATTGGGGTGTTGCAGGGACTGCTGCATTTCCTTACTAAGCCTTGAGCTTTTAAATGTTTAACAATATCCTGTAATCCTTTATGAGCTTCAGGCCTTAAGGGATATTGCCTTTGATAAGGAAATGTGGTGGGATCTTTTAGCCTGATTTGGACTGTGTGGGCATTTTTTGCCCCTCCAAATTGTCCTTCCAATGCCCAGGCTTCAGGGTTGATTCCCTCCCAAGTAGGAGACAATAAATGGGTAACTTGTTCCCCATATTCATGTAGATAATAGCTCCAGCCTTGGCTAATATATCCCTCCTTAATAAGGGTGGGACTTTCAGGCATAACAAGAAAGGCATGTGAAAAGAGCAAAGTCTCCCAGTTACAACTGAGAAGGTGGGAGAAATACCTGGTTACAGGCTGTCCCAGGATTACTCAGATGGTAATGGACCTTGATGACAGTTGTCCAGGACAGGAGATTAACACTGAGAAGGCCGTGCCGGTATCCAGGAGGAAGTCAATTTCCTGGCCCTCAATGGTTAAACATACCCGGGGCTCAGTGAGGGTGATGACATGGACATGAGCTGGCACTTGCCCTGGGCACCCTCAGTCCTGTTGTTGGATCATCTGGTTGGGGGCTTCTGGCCCAGAGAACCATTGCACTCTGGGGCAGTGTGCTTTCCAGTGATTGCCTCAGCATAGTGGACATGGACGAGGGGGAGGCTTGTTTCTCGTTGGACAATCTTTTTTAAAGTGTCCTTGTAAACCACACTGATAACAAGCCCTACTGGGTGATTGGCCTGCTCCATTTTCTGTCCTCTCTGAACCCCCAAGGTTTGTTTGTCTGAGGGCCATGACTAAGGCTGTGGCCTTTCTCTGATCTCGCTTTTCCTTTTGGGCCTGTTCCTCTTGGTCCCTATTATAGAACACCAAGGTTGCTAGGTTTAATAATGCCTCCAGATTTTGTTCAGGGCCCAGGGCTCGCTTTTGGAGCTATATCCTGATATCTGCAGCTGATTGGGTAATAAACTTATCTTTTAGAATCAATTGACCCTCGAGTGAGTCAGGTGTCTGGGGAGTATATTTTCTTAAGGCCTCCCATAGCTGCTCAAGGAAGGCAGGATTTTCTTCCTTTCCCTGAGTTATGGTAGACATTATTGAACAATTCATGGGCTTTTTCCTAATTCTCCTTATTCCTTCTAGGACATAGGTCAACAGATGTTTACGACTCCAGTCCCCACGATCTGAGTCGAGGTCCCAGTGGGGATCCATACTGGGGACAGCTTGCTGACTGGTAGGGAATTTGTCCCTTTCTTCAGCTGTCATTCTATCATTTACTTGACTGAGATACCAGGTATCTCCAAAGTCTCAGGCTACAGCTAAAGTCTCATTCTTTTCATTAAAGGCCAGTGTTTGATCTAACAATAGCAAGACATCTCTCCAAGTGAGATCAAAGGTTTGCCCTAGACCCTGTATGACATCTATGTACCTATCAGGATCATCTGAAAACTTCCCCAAATCTGCCTTGATCTGCTCTAAATCAGAGAGGGAGAAGGGGACATGTACCCAGGTTGGGCCAAACTCCCCTCCCCCCACAGCTTGAAGGGGACATAACCAATAGCCCAGGGGGGATTGTGGTCCTTTGGAGATTTCTTTGCTTATTTCCTTCCGGGTGGAGGAGATTAGAGGAGGCTTATCATTAATAGGAAGGGGAGCTATAGGGAGGCTAGGATATGGGGATAAGCTGTGAAGTCCTCCTGTAGGATGTAAATTGCAAGCTTTGCATAGTTTTGTATTCTCCTTCAATGAAAAGAAAGCTTGGACATAAGGTATTTCACTCCATTGGCCTTCCCTCTTACAGAAAAGGTCAAGCTGCAGGATAGTATTGTAATTTATATTTCCCTCAGGTGGCCATTTTTCCCCATCAGAGAGATAATATTGGGGCCAAGCTGTAGTGCAGAAAAAAATGAGCCAGGTCTTTTTCAGGGTTTGTGGGTCAAATTGGTCCCAATGGCTTAGGATGCATTTCAAGAATGAGCCTGTTGATGCTTGAGTGTTTCCCATCTGAAAGACAAAACCGCCAGTGGTTTTGGTTTGTTTGTTTCTCCCCCTGCCCAAGAACCCGCAACGGTCCCTGGGCCCTGCTGATGGGAATAATCGCCCTCACTGACGTAGCAGCAGAAACACCTCTTGCCCAAGAACCCACAACAGTCCCTGGACCCTGCTGATCAGAATAGTTGTGCTTACTGATGCAGCAGAGTCCTAAGCATTCTCCTGTTAGTATTGACACCTTACCCATGTCCTATAAAGATGTTATGCCCCAAAAATGAAGTGAAGGGCCATACCCTGAGGGAGGGAAGGGATCTCCAGAGTTAGAAGAGTGATGCCTTTTGTCCTCACTTATACGAATAGGAAGGATACAATTTCTGAGGCTCCCCAAATCCTAGCTTCAGGAATAGCTTTTGTTAGGCCTGCTTTTCTGAGGAGGGATCCTAAAATTCCAGATAGTCCCCCCTACAATGGGGCTTTGGGCAAAAATTATGTCTTTCTGGTTGGTGAGCCCGGGTGCCTAAAGAAGGTAACAGAGTCCTGAAGTTTATACTAGAAATCATTCTTACAGGAGAAACTAGAAAAGCACCAGAGACAGGGAGTGGTTTTTAGAAGCAGGACTAGCCTCGGAGAAGAAAGGCGGGAGGAAGTTTGTCTGACAGGCATTAGGACCCAGGAGGCAAGCATCAGGATAGATAGGATAGATGGGTGAGTCTCGCTTGGGCGACATGACTTTGAGAGTTCTGCTCATGGCTGCAGGGTCAACCAACTTGTTGTCGGGACCCCAGAGCTGAATGGCTTTTGTCTCTGCCAACCCTTGGCTCAGCCCAGAAGTACAGGAAAAGCGGAAGCTGGTTCCAGGCAAACCAACACTCCCAATTCCAAAGAGTCGGGGGTTGTTAGAGAGCCCTTTCCCAGAAAGCCTGACAACCATGTCTTAAGTCTGGTGGCCGTGCTAGTCGCTTTTAACTGGCCAGCTTTTAACAGGTGCCTGGTATTTAGCCCCCAAATTCTAAGGAAAAATAGAACAAAATAGCAAGTGAAAGGGGTCTGATGGTACTCACTGCTTGGCGATAGGCAATAGTCCCATCTGGGTCACCAAAATGTGTCTAGAGTTGGTCCCTTCCAGTGGGTTCTTGGTCTTGCTGACTTCAAGAATGAAGCCGCAGACCCTCGCGGTGAGTGTTACAATTCTTAAAGATGGTGTGTCCAGAGTTTGTTCCTTCAGATGTTCAGATGTGTCCAGAGTTTCTTCCTTCTGGTGGGTTTGTGGTCTTGCTGAGTTCAGGAGTGAAGCCGCAGACCTTCACAGTGAGTGTTACAGCTCTTAAAAGTGGCACGTCCAGAGCTGTTCATTCCTTCCGGTGCGTTCATGGTCTCGCTGACTTCAGGAGTGAATCCGCAGACCTTCGTAGTGAATGTTACAGTTCTTAAAGGTGGCGCGTCCAGAGTTGTTCATTCCTCTTGGTGGGTTCATGGTCTCGCTGATTTCAGGAGTGAAGCCACAGACCTTCACAGTGAGTGTCACAGCTCTTAAAGGCGGTGTGGACACAAAGAGTGAGAAGCAGCAAGATTTATTGTGAAGAGCGAAAGAACAAAGCTTCCACAGTGTGGAAGGGGACCCTAGCGGGTTGCCACTGCTGGCTCAGGTGGCCAGCATTTTTTCCCTTATTTGGCCCTGCCCACGTCCTGCTGATTGGTCCATTTTACAGAGCGCTGATTGGTCCGTTTTACAGAGTGCTGATTAGTCCGTTTTTACAGAGTACTGATTGGTGCATTTACAAACCTTTAGCTAGACACAGAGCACTGATTGGTGCGTTTTTACAGAGTGCTGATTGGTGCATTTACAAACATTTAGCTAGACTCAGAGTGCTGATTGGTGCATTTACAATCCTTTAGCTAGACAGAAAGTTCCCCAAGTCCCCACCTGACCCAGAAGCCCAGCCGGCTTCACCTCTCAATGATACAGATCTGCATGGGTTCTGTAAGAAGGCAAACCCTGCATTACGAAGTGAGGATGATTTAACAAAAGTTGATGAAGTAAAATCACTCCTGGTTCAACACAAGCACCTCCCAATCTTCACAGCCTTCTACCTTCTGTGTGGTCTGATAGCAGAAGAGATAGAGTGGTGTAGACCTAGTATTGTGCAGAATGTAAAAGCTACATTCCTAAACCTAGACTCTTTGCTTTCAAACCCCAGCCCTGTTGTTCACTTGGCATGAGATCTCCAGTGAGTTATGTAACCTCACTTTGCCTCAGTTTCTAATCTGTTGAGATGATGATGATGATGGTGATGGTGACGGTGAGGATGGTGGTGGTGGTCGTGGTGGTGGTGGTGATGGTGACAATGGTGATGGTGGTGATGACGATGGAGCCACATGATGGTGATAATGGTGACAATGACAATGGTAACAATGATAGCACTTATTTTGTTGTTGTGAGAATTCAATGAGTTGATATATGTAGCTTGCAAGGAACACAGTGTTTAGCACTTGGTAAGTGATATGTAAATGTTAGCTATTATTAGTTGATTTGGTCAATAAACTCTTCATTGATATGAGAATCAGCAAAGCAGGAGGTAGAATTAGTGTTTATAGAGAAGTAGTACTCAACTTCAGGGGAGGATGGAAGGAGGTTTGAGCTAGAAGGTATCTTAAAGATCAACCTACAGGCCCCCTCATTTTTTATAAGAAAATGATAGTGACATGCTCCAGGAGTTACAATATCTTAAAGACAATTAAACATAATACAAATATAAGGTGCTAGTAATTTTTATTCTGTCTCTAGCTCTCCAGCTTATTTGCTTTAACTATCCCTTCATAGGCTGTGGCTTCACTTTACCCCAGCACAAGTTCTAGGCCTGTGATTTGTTACTGGATCCTCAAATTCAGTGTGACTAAAACGAAACTCCATTTTCCCTGCAAACCCATTCCCCTTCCTCCACATTTCCCATGTCTGACAGCAGCATCACTACATCCCCAGTCTCCTGGGGTAGGAGCCTAAGCATTACCTTCATTTTCATCATCTCTCTCTCCACTGCTGCTCCTCACATCCCAGGAGCCTCAGTGTTTCCTTGTGCATGTGGCTGCTCTCTCCCTCTCCCTATCTCCACCATCCCCTCTCCCTTGCATGCCTTTAGCTTCACTCTGAGCCCCAGGAATCAGCAGGTCTCATTGTTCCGCCATGGCCTCTTCTCTGACTATATCCAGGATGTCCTCAGATGAATCTTATTTAAATACTCTCCCATTGTGTTAGTCCCCTGCTCAAACACCCTCCTCACTCCAAAGGGATGACTTCCGTAGAATCTGGCCCTGCATACTTCCTCCTCACTTACCCCCCTTCCCAAGCTGTGCCACCAGTGAATCAGGACTATTTGACTTTTGACTGACAGTCACACAGGATTTCCACCATCTTCCTTTGAAATCCCAAGCTAAAGTTGGGAGGAGGCCTGTGACAGTGGAGAAGGAGGTAGCCAGGTCCCCATACAATCAATGCCTGGAAACAGGTAGAGTGGGGAAGGGGCCTGGGCCTGCCCCCTCCCACACTCAGCCCCTCCCTCAACCCTCTGCCCTTCCGGAGCTGCCTTTCATGTTTGTTTTCATCCAGATTTACCTGTATATAATGTTGAGCACAGGTTACCCAGTGTGTTTGCCCAGGCCCAACATACCCTGCGGTAGGTGAACGTAACCCTCCAATCCGAACAGTCCCTCCACTGGAGACGACCCCCTAAGTCTTCATAACAAGAACGCTGGCACTAAAATAGACCTCTTAGGCATACGGGGCAGCAACACGCTAATTCCGTAAGGAAGGAAGCTGGTTCTTTTTCCTCTTTTTTTTTTCCTCCAAAATCCACTTTTATCCAAAGGATAAGCTGCTCTGACCTTGACAGTTTTTAAAAGAAAAGTCTGTTGCTAATGGGAACCAGCCCAGCTGTGAAAGATCTAATGAGTGCCTGCCAGTGGCGTCATCTAGAAACAAATCAAGCAGCTTCTGAGAGAGCAGGGAGACCAGCTGTTCCGCCTCTCCTCTAAAAGGAAAGAAGAACAGAAATATGAAACATTGAGTCAAGAAACAGTACAAATGGCAGCAAAACATGTATTTTAACGACTCTGAGATCACAGCACATTGGAAAGGTAAATGACCCTCTTCCCTCTGATGAGTCCTGAAAGCTAGGACAGCAAAGCTTCCCTAACAGGACAGACGGGAAGTCCAGGACCCCACACAAGTTCTAGAAGGGTGTGGAACCAACTGACGTTGAAGTAGATGTAGATCTATTTCAAAGTATTTCTGACTAGGGTCTATGTTAATAAACAGGGCTGATAGGATTTATAGGTCAAGAGAAATGGAGTCTAAAAAGATGAAAACCAAACTACAGGTCGAGCATCCCAAATCCAAAAATCCAAAATCTGAAACGCTCCAAAATCCAAAACTTTTTGAGCACTAACATGACACTCAAAGGAAACGGACATTGGATCATTTCAGATTTCCAGTTTTGATTTTGGGATACTCAACTGGTATAATGCAAATATTTCAAAATCTGAGAAAAACCCAGATCCAAAACACTTCTGGTCCCAAGCACTTCAGATAAGAGATACTCAATCAGTATTATCACTGAAATGGGAAATTAGGGGGTTCTCTCATTTCCTACTTAATAGATATTCCCATGTTGGGAAGGGAGGGTTAGAATTTTGAATGTTACCTGATTGTAATTTGCTCTAAATGGTAAAAAGCTAATATTTGAGTAACAGTATTATTATTTGACCAAAGATTTGGTCAAATTTTAAGATAGAATTTGAAACATCCTGCATGTCTCTATAGATCTTGACATGCCTATAGGCCCAGCTATCCTTTAAGGTTCATTACCATACACATGTGTGAATCACTTCATAGTAAGATTTGAATTTCCAAAATCTTGCTGTGAATCTCTGACCCTAAAGACTTGAGCATATCATGGCCATATTACCATATGCCAGTTTATCATCCCAAACGTCTTTCTTCATCTGTAATTTGGGAACAATAATTACTTTATTGAAGAGGTATGAAAACTAATTGAGACTATATGTGTGTGTGTGTGTGTGTGTGTGTGTGTGTGTGTGTGTGTGTGTTTGAGATGGAGTTTTGCTCTTGTTGCCCAGGCTGGAGTCAATGGCACAAAGTCAGCTCACTGCAGCCTCCACCTCCTGGGTTCAAGCGATTCTCCTGCCTCAGCCTCCCAAGTAGCTGGGATTACAGGCATGCACCACCATGCCCGGCTAATTTTGTATTTTTAGTAGAGACAGGGTTTCTCCATGTTGGTCAGGCTGGTCTCAAACTCCCAACCTCAGGTGATCTGCCCACCTTGGCCTCCCAAAGTCCTGGGATTACAGGCATGAGCCACTGCACCCTGCCTAATTGAGACAATATTTATACAAGGGGAAATTGGTCTATTATAAGGCCTAGCCATAGTAAAGGTCTCAACATGTGCTCCCAGCTCTCCCTCTCCTCCTTGTCTTCTCTCTACCAGTGGTTCTCACACTTCGTAACACTCTGAGGCACACTGGGCATGAAATAAAAGCAGGAGAGGATGGGACAGCATATTCCAGAGATCTGTTTTTCTTCTTAAAAGCCACTCACTTGAAATTCTATCAAAGTTATATGCCTAAAAAATTCATTACCTCTGTTTTAATTATACAAGAGCCTTACAACTAAAATACTCTCCCAGTCATCTAAGAGACCACCACTTAACAGTATATTAGATGCAAACATTTCAGATTTTCCCCATGAGCCTGAAGTTTAAACATTCAAATTTGCAAAAGAGAAGTAAATTGGAAGAAAGACATTCACAGAAAACTATTTCATATCCATTAGTTATCATTTACACATCAAATACATATAGCATTAAGACCAAATATACAGAATTTCCACATTTATATACAGTAGTCAACATAGTGCACAATTCAAATCTATCTTACAATCAAGTGTACAAGTTTAAATATGGCTTTATAAACTACTAATAACTCTGCTAAAGTAACTCATAGATCCAGAAATAAACACTGAAATGCCATCTTCACATTGGGGTCATCATTCAGCAAGATGCTAATCATTGTGATTGCAAAACAGAGGGTGCAGGTAAGTGTTTCCAGGTGGTGTCCGCCCATTAGCCCCGAAATGTGGGTTCAAATTATGCCAACATTGGCCCTTCCTATCTCAGATACCTAAAAATAAGTCTGCACATCTTCCACACATTTGAAGACACAAGATTATAAACAAATAGAAAAAAAGACATGTAATCAGTGAGATGATGAATTATCAGGCATTATCAAAACATGTTTTTCAGATTGATGCTGAAATTCACAGACAATACATCCTGCATTTGCATTATCTGGGTATCACCTCACCCCTACTTTCTTTTCTTGTTTTGCTTACCTCAGTGTGTTGTTAAATCTTTCTGGAATTTTCAAGGCATTCTAGATCAAGTGGTCCCAAAAGCAGAATTAAAAACATCAGTCTTAAAGGTGACATCAAATTGTTCATCCTTCTCTTTCCCAACCAAAAATGCCTATTTTAAGTAAAAATAATTAAATACCTTGACCTAAAATCATGCGTCCATGCCTGTTTTATATCTGCTTTGCCACAAATGGTATATACACATTCTCTAATCAATTACAGGCATCTGGGTGCTACGCCTAAAGACTCCTTGTCCCATTCTCTAAACTCCATTGAGGACCAGAAAATATACTTTTAAAATGTCTATGTTTGCTATGGTTTTTAATGTTTACATCAGTAAAACAGTATATACATATATAGCAGTGTATACATATATACATATATATCATAAATAAATACATGGAGGGGCATGCTCAGAAAGTTTTACTAATAGGGTGAATAAACATAAACGTTTGGAGACCACTGCCTAAATAGGGATGGACGATCTGGGCTGTCTGCAAACATTTAAAAGACTTCTCTAAAACAAAATGTACATTACTTTGTACAATTTTATATTTATAAAATGAAAAATATATGCCACAAACACTCTTGAGAGACTAGAAGGAAATTCCAAAATTAAAGGAGTAAATGTATCAGGGCCAGACCCTCTAAGCTGCTATCTAAGGTCCCAGGCCTGGCTTCAGAAGGGGAATGGGGGACATGAGCATAGAAATTAAGATAAAGATAAATGTTACTTCACTTCCTGCACTGGCCACTTGTATATCCATAGACAATCCTTCCCTACATAGATTGCACTTGTTTTTGATTTATAAACCTGTACTTTTTATTATTTTAGCAAGATGGCACCACCTAGAAAACTTTCAATTGCCTGATACATCTCTACCACAGCCATACCACATGGTTGCTTGAAATTTTGACATTTGTTACTGTTTTCTTCTCTCCTCCTACTCAGTTAAATTCTAATACCACCAAATGAGGGACTCAGACCCTCAGTTTTCCAAACTTCACCATGGAAAAACCATCGCTGTCATCAACATTTGAGTTGTCAGACATTTGGCATGATGTAGATCACTGGGAAAAAAACATGTGTTTACAATAAGCTTGTTCTGATCCCACAAGACTTATTACTTGCAATAAAATCATTTTGACAGGAGTAACATTAAAATCATTTTACAGGAGTAAACATGTCACCCCTACTGAAGCAGAAGCCTTTAGCCTTATTTCTGTAAAAAACAAATCCCAGGCATAATTTGTTAAAGATAAAAATACAATCATTTGGACATGGTTTATATTTTAATAAGCCAAATATAATCTCTTGTAGAAGAGAAGCAAATACGAAAGAACATTTCTGATTCTGAACAATGGAAGAGGAAAGTCATTGATTATTTTTTAAAGAGGAGGAAGACAGTAAATATTCAGAGCATTCCTCTTTTTTAGCCCTCAATGAACAATTATATTATATTCCCTTTGCTATCTGTTTAGCCACCATTAACTAACATGGCAATTCAGAAGTTGGATCTTATTTTTTTAGAAGCCATGGGGTAACTAAAAACAAAAAAGGTATTAAATAAGGAAAAAAGCTTAAGCATTACTAATAAGTGAAAGTTACTCTATTCCAGAGCCACAAATAAAAACAAATAAATAAAAATAAATGCATGCCAATGGGGGGTGGGAGGTGAATTAGTCACATTTAGTAGCACAACTTTTTATAAAGTTAACTGATTATGATACACATATATTGCTTTATGGTTAGTGGATTGTTTCAAAAATGCATGATGGCCATTAAATTCTTTGCTAAAATTATTGTGTACAGAACACCAAAGTACCGTATCCATCTTTTACTCCAGATTACTTGTTTTCCTACTGAAATGGTCAGTTTGGTGCTGCTAGACCATATCTGTAGGTTATTCGTTTTATTATTGCAATGGTCCCCTTTATTTGTCTACCAATTTTACAATTTAAGGCAATCATCCTTATGAAATTTGAGCATCCTAGTTTGTCATGGTCCAGCCAATAGCAGGAGTTTTAGAGGGTCTAGGTCTGGGGACAAGTTCCTTGCTTCGGCGAAAGCAGAATGGTTGAGGAGGTCACCCTGTCAGCTCCAAAACAGCTGAACCCCTTTTTTTTAAATCTATGCTTCAGTGCCCTCTGTAATCATCTCTAACTGGCAAGGCTAACGTTGCTGGTTCCAGCAGTCTCATCTCAAAGATTAAGGAAACTTAAATATCCTTAAGATATTCTTGAAAGTCAGGGACCAAAAATCTGAGTTTCTGGGTAAGGAATTCAGATGAGGAAAACATGCCACAGATGTTCGCATCCACGCCTGACAGTAGCAAGAGTCTTACAGGTAAGAGGCCCGTCCCTCCTCACCCAACAAGGGAATCCTTTTGAACTTCCCAAGTTATATCCAGACCACTGGAAGCAACTGAATAAAGGTCAAGCACTTCACAATCACATGCAATTGATCCCTGGACCTGTTAAAGATGGGTTCCCAGAGCCCAGCATTTAGCCTGGGAAGTATTCGTCATTGAGTGTACTTTTATCAGTTCTAGTTTGACTTAAATAGCACTGCATATAAAGGAGAACAAAGGATCCTGGGTCATAGTCAGGAACAATAAAATAACATACTCTGTTTAAAAAAAAAAAAAACCCTAAAAGAAAGAAAGAAGAATAACCTGAGTTGTTCCCTATCAACAAAAGCCACCAACCTTTTATTGAAAATACACTCAACAATTGTTCTATGAATGAATGAATAAATGAATACAGGAAAACCTGATTGTGCAGACCTTTCTTCTTTAAGGAAGAAAAATCCAGCCTCTTCTCTCCCACCTTCAGCCCAGGCTGGTTGCCCTATCCATGCAGAAGCGGTGGGTTTCAGGGCTGAAAGGAAGCGCACTTGGCCCTGAACTCATTTTGATAAATCAATTTTGGGGGTGGTTAAAAGATAAATGACAAGGACAACAACAAAATCCTATGACTTTCAAAATTCCAAACCTCTAAAACAAAATTTTCTCAAATAACCTAAGAGCACTTCTTTCTTCTTTTCTGTCACTCAAGACATACTGAACATGGATAATAGAGATTACTTTTGCTTGCATAGCCTGTACTAATTTTTCTTCTCTCTGGCTGTGTTAAAAACAAGAACAAACACAATGATAACATTTAAAGACTCTTGGGAACAAGACTCTTTAACTGGGGTCCATTAACCCCCTGAGGAAACCATGGATAATTTCAGGAGGTCTCTAAATTTCCTGAATTTATATGTAACATTTTATGTATTTGCATATATGTGTTTTTCTGGGAATAGGGTATAGAACTTTCGTTGGATTATCAGTGGAGTTCCTGACAAACAAAAAGTGAAAATTCACTATTTAATGGTATGTGACTCACTCTCTGAGCATCTTTCCCATGCAACCTTCAGGGAAGGAAGTGATGAGTGCTTCATTTTCAAAGGAAGAGATTATAATCAGCTGGGAAGCCTTCATGTGAAGCTGACGAAGTCAGACCTTGAGAGATGGGCATGACTTGGGCCAGTGGAGCAGAGAATAGAACATTTCAGGAGAAGGACTGGCATGAGCAGAGGCACAGAGGTGGGCCACATGAGGCTTTTTTAGGCAATGGCAAATGGATCAACCTGGCTGCACTGGATGGCTCCCATGGAGGAGCTATGGAGACAAGGTGAACAAAGGTGAAAACACCAGACCCTAAGGAGTAGCCCCTCACCCTGAGGCAATGCCACACCCCATCAGGGCCAAAGAGCTTTTTAGAAAGATTAATCCATTTGTAGTGGATGGAATGGAACAGGGAAATGGCCAAGTACGTAAAAGAGGCTAGAGAAGTCTAGGCAAAAGAGGATGCCCTGAAATCAGAGTTCTATGCTGTTCTATTTGCCACTCTACAACCAGTGTAGATCCCAGGGCCAGGCACAGGGTAGGTGCTCTGTAAATATTCAGCAAGTGAGGGAATGGACATGGGTTCTTTAAAAGATACATAAGGAAGTATGAGGAGTCTTGGTGATTTGGGAATCCATCTTGCTATTCTTCAGAGTCTAGCAATACCCTGCACTGATGAGAGGTCTCTTGTATTGGTCTTGACCAGGCTGACAGGACATGGACAAAAGCGAAGTAGGATTCCAACCAGGGAATGGCTGGAGATGTGCTGGTTGTCTGAACACAGGGTGACTTCTCAGGTAACATGCATTTTATAAGACAACAAAGCCACAGTGGTATAATGGAAAGAACCATCAAGGGCAAGGTGGTATAATAGAAAGAAACCATCAAGGGCAACGTGGTGTAATGGAAAGAACCATATTGACCTCAGTTTTTGGTCCTGCCCTTCAAATAAGTATGTATGTGACACTGAGCCAATAAGGTGCTTTCTACAGCTAATTTTTAGCACAGCTATACATTTCTATGACTCTACATTATCTCTCAAACAAATCTAAGCAAGACCCACAAGGCCAAAATCCTTAGTATGTCTGTTCCTTGAACCTTAGCTATTTCACAAAAATATACCCTAACACCACAGTATACATGGGCAGGGCTCACTTGAGGAGTAGACTGCAGTCTGATTCAAGTCCAAGTTGTTCCAGGTCCGTGATTAGTCTCCTGGGTAGCCCACAGCCTTGGTAGTGTCACTTTCTACAATTCATTATGTAACAACAACAAATTGGTAAATGCTGACAATATAGTTCATCATTGCATAAATATAGATTGTCCTTATATCTGTTCTGATGGAGAGTAAAGCTCAATGATTCTGCTCATTAATCTTGTTGAGTGGGGGTACAGATGGGCAAAGAGAGGTGGATGCAAGAGCTTGATTTACTTTTACAATGACAGGAAAAAAAGAACGAATAGCCTATGGGTCTGTTGTCCAACCAAAAGCATCTGTTAACATTAAAGATCACATACTTCAAGTTACCTTCCAGCAAAAAGGAAACACAGAACTTGAACAAGAAGCCAGATGACCAAAATGTCCCTTAACTTCTTATAGTTTTTTCCTATAATTAGCACCTGTTCATGAAATTGGAGAACATTTCAAATCTGGGTAGCTTAAGAATGAAGCACATAAAATTAAATCCTTCCGGATAAAGACTCACACTATGGTGACTTTGTCTTGGTTATTTTGTTTGCATAACCCGCCTTGGGAAAGTAAAGCAGGGGCATATTCTAGGGCTCTAAATCAAATTAACACCTACAAAATGTTGATGCCCAGTTATATGCTGTCAGGCAATTGCCCAAGACTCCAGATAGCAATGTCCATTCATGCCCCTGTAAGAGGTACCTGGATGGAATGACTTATTTTACAACTTCATTTTCAAAGTTGGTTCTCCACATACTTGTATTCCAAGTAATATAAAATTAAAAACATATATTAATCTACATTCTCATAACTTAATCATCCTTTGAGAGAAAATACATCACACTTGGTACTGTACAGTAAGATAGATTGTTCATAGAAAAAAATTCAAATACATTTCTTTTCTACTAAAATGTGGTGGGAAAAGGACAACCCATGCTTTGTGGAGACAGGTCTGCAGTCCACCTGTTCATTATATTCATATTTTCAGTCCAGGAGTCTCCCTAGTCACACAGAAATGCCACCAGTTGGCCTTAAAACACACTTGCTAGAGAGAGGGGAGGCAAACAGTCCTCCCAAATGATGCTGCAGCCTCAAACAGGCTTATCCATTCATATCTTCTCCACCACATTCTTATTAGGCATCAAACAGTCCCTTTAAATAAGAATGGTTTTAATAAGATATTAACAACTAAGTTTCCCATGGAATAAGAATTTCTAACTTAGGGTATCTCAGCACGTATTCCCAGTTACATATGCCCTACACAATTGCTTAAGTGGTAAGCAGTCTGAAAAACTCTCCTCCCTTTACCTCTTTGTGAATCTACAGCAGTCTTTTAAGATTGTTTTGCAAATGCTATATTCAAAAAGAGGTTTTTTTTTTTTCAAGTAAAGTGCATGGATTTCTCAGAAGTTGCTGTATTTTAAGAAGTGCCTCTTTAACCCCATAATGAGCAATCCTTATGTTGGTCAGAAGCAAAGCAGTTTTGTTTGCAATTGTAAATCTTGGCTCTCCTAGCCCAAATCTCACAGCCATCACCCAGGATCTCTGCCCCATATTTCCCTGGAAAATGTCCTAAGTCAAAACAACAACAACAACAACAACTTCATCTTTAGAAATAGGGTGCCTTCACAAATATGGGTAAGCCAACAGTTCATCGAATACTATAGGGAAAGAGAGAGAGAACGGGGATGAGACAGCAAAAACATTAAGACTTGTTCTCAGCATTGCTCTCCTCTCACTGGGCAGTGGCTGAAAACACCAGAAAAGTTGCATTAATAAAACTGCATATAGTCTAACACTGCACAGAGTGCTTTGATACAAGTATCCTCTTGCTACTTCATCTTTTCAATACATCTTTGCAAGGTTTGTTTTCAAAAAGACATTACAAGTTGGCAGGCTTCTGCTTATAAAAATCAATGAAATACTTTCCCTTCAACTCTATGAAACCTGCCATATACCTGAGATTTATTCTTCTCAAATAAATCAAACATAGGCAACGTAACACTCTGGAGTCAACACAGAACATGCCAGGGTGAGTTCAGGCAATGAAAGAACCACTTTTCTGCAAATACATGGTAGAATTGAAGACTGTTTGTAGCTGTCGATAATTTGTAAAAACATTTCCAATGTTCTTTGAACAAAAGATTTTGATTCAGCCAAGATTACAGAAAGGAATCATGACAAAGTCCTAAGTGTACCTTTGTGTGTATTTCATCTGCTCAGCTTTTGCAGGTGACTGTGGTGGTGGTTGCCTGGATATGGAATTCCTTTGCCCTCAAATCTTCACATGCATGAAGTGCAATAAAGAATAAAATGCTGTGTTTATGTCGCACCACTTCTAAGAGGTTTAAAGCGCCGTACGAATGTTACCACATGAATCCCCACAACACCCCTGTGAGGTAGGTAGGTGGAGAGTATTGTCATCCCCACTTTACAGGTGGGAGAAATGAGGCACCCAATAGTTAATAAGAGATTTGCTCAAAATCACACAGCTAGTCACTGGCAGGGCTTAGAATAAAATGTATACTGATTAGCACCTAGCACAGTGCTTTGCACATAGTAGGTGTTCGTTTAATATCTGTGGATTTTATTTGACTTATGTCTCAACATACAATATACACACATAAAGTACAAGCAGCCACCGTAAAACATTTTTCTGATGATATCTCTCATTACTTCAAATCCTGGTGGAGGAAGGAGGTTCAAGAATCCATCTCACAATTAAGACCTCAGGGTTGAAGAGGATCATCATAAAAACTATCAGCTGACAACCAGCTCTTACACCTGCTCTACCACACAATATTATTAATAGTTTTCTAATGAAAACAAAAATGGATTTCAGGAACCATGCTGACATTATTTTTTGCCTGTTTGTTTTCAATGGAGTCATCTGAATGGTTCTGTGTTTTGTTTGTACAAAAAAGAAATAAGGCTGCTATAGTCCAGTTAGCATGTGAAAACTCTGCCAAGCACGAAGATCTCCTCCCAGCTCGGATGGATTGCTACCTGGGAAAATGGACCGACCCAGGGAGTGGCAGGTCCCAAGGAAGAGGGTCAGTGAGGCTGGACGTCACTTGCACTGTTCGTGGTCTGTATAGTCATCCATGTCCACATCCGAATCAAAGAGTGAGTGTCCAGTAAAATCTGTGTCTGGGGTTCTGGAAAAACTGTTTTCTGCTCCCTCATCTTCAAAGGTCTCTGTCCTTGAGTAAAAGCTAAAATCCAGCAGCGGGGTGTGGGTTTTGCTGCCTTCGCTGCTCTCCTCAGACTCATAGATGGTATTGTCATCATCGTGGTGCCACTCTGGCCAAAATTTCCTCCTTATCCTCTCACAGTACATGGCAAGGTTGATCAGCTCACCTGCAGTGTGGTAAGGAAAGCAAGGATTAGTTCTCAAAGGCAGCAGTCTACCACTTCTATGGTCTGTGTTGCCCCAAAACTCCAATGTTGAAATCCTGACTCCCAATGTGATGGTCTAAGGAGGTGGGGCCTTTAAGAGGTGGTTCGTTCATGAGGCCCAAGCCCTCATTCGTGGTACTAGTACCTCATAACAGAGGCCTGAGAGAGCTGCCTTCCCCCTTTTACCATGTGAGGACACAGCAAGACAGCACTGTGTCCAGGAAGCAGGAAGTGGTCCCTCCCCCAGGCAGGCCCTCGCCAGATCCTGAATGGGCCAGAGTCGTGATCCTGCATTTCCCACCATGATCCTGCATTTCCCAGACTTTTCCAGACTCCACAACTGTGAGAAATACATTCCTCTTGTTTACCAGCAAACAAGTTTATGGCATTTTGCAACAGCGGCCCAAACTATGACATCCAGCCACTAGGCTTTCTGGGAAACTGGAATAACGGGGAAGGTAAACATTAACAGTATTTTTCCATAGAGATACTGTGAAAATATTTAGGTTTTTATGCACATAATAAAAACGGTGAGTGAGAAAAGTTACATTCAGTGAGTGTGCTGAATGAAATGAAGAAGTGAGTCCGATGATGATGAGAAGTGGCAAGGTAGTTTATCCAAAATGGCAGATAAACTACCATCATTTGGCTTTAGGAAGCATTTTATTATTTTATGTTTACATATCAAGAGAGCTAATGCTGTGATTGGTTCATATATAAATTAATTTATATTCCATAAAAATACGTCAAACTGTTGGTTGCATTAAGTCAGCCAGAAGTAATCATTTACTCCACAAATTTTCGCAGTGTTGCTGTGGGCTGAGTACCATGCCAAGCAGCTGAAAAAAGTTATGTTAGGACATAAACCTTTCCCCCCAAAAAATCCATAAAATGGATAACTCAGAATTGTCTTTATGGATAAGTGTGCCTGCAAACACACTTAGTATAAGATATTTTTAAATTTTTACATGAAATTGAACAGCGGTACTCAGGATCCGGGTCCCACTCGGTCACTAGATTACTTCTTTTTTATGTGAATCAAAAGAACTCTTGTGTTAAGTCACTATTACTGTCTAGGCATTTGTCTGAAACATGCCACTCTACCTGGCCTTCATTTCCTAATTCCAAATGAAAAAGAAAGAGGGTGAGTTTCTCCCTGTGATCCAGCAGATGGCAACATTGCTTATAAATATATGATTTGCTACTATCTCTTATAGGACATTATTACTCTAAGAATGTCTTTGGATTTGAGTTATATAAACATTCACTTATTGTGTAAACAATCCATGTTTTAGTGCAGAAAATTAGAAAAAACAGATAAGCAAAAAATAAAAGCATTACCAATAATCGCATTCCCCATAACATTTTCATTTATGTTCTTCCAGAAAGGTACATATTTACATATACATTTACATATATTTACATGTGCTATATAGGATTTACTATATATTCTTTTTCCTATCCTATGTTTTTCCACTTAACAACGTATAATAAAAATCTTTGAATGTCACACTCTGATCACAGTGATAAGTGCACACTATGTTATATGGCTGTACCATAGCTTCAGTTTGTCTTTATGAATCCCCTATCACAGGTCGTTTAGGTTGTTTCCATATTAATGGTTCTGTTGATTATAGTCTGTCACTACTCTATCTTATTTTTCTGTTAAGGAAAATAACATATTCTCATTTTGGAAAATTAGAATTAGTCTGTATAGACAAACTGTACAAATACATAAAGAAGAAAACAAAAAGTACCCATGATTTCATCGATCCAAGATAATCACAATTAACATTTTG
The DNA here is from genome assembly GCF_000001405.40 of Homo sapiens. Taxonomy (NCBI): domain Eukaryota; kingdom Metazoa; phylum Chordata; class Mammalia; order Primates; family Hominidae; genus Homo; species Homo sapiens. The sequence goes on from NC_000006.12 coordinate 99,283,292, forward strand.
GTGTAACTTCTTTCAGTATTTTTTCTATTTACCTATTGCCATTATTATTACATATTATCTCCTGTAACATTATTGTAAACATTTTCTCATGTTAAAATTTTTCAAAACTTGATTGCTGTTTTACTTACATCCCCTGCAAAACATAACAAAGCAAATCCCCCTGCTTCATGGATCCCATGGACATGTACTGGCTCCAGGTCACCATTTCCAGTCTTCTCAAATTATAACAGCTCAACCCCCACTATGTAAAAATCTATTCTCTTCTAGAAGATATCTGTGCACATGCTCAGGAGCCAGAAACTGAGAAGTCAACACCATTGCTCCTTTTGAGGAGATGCAGCATGGAAAACCTTCACTTACTTTCTCCCTTATGGGGACAGTCATGAAACGCCTCACCAGGTATTGCTGCCAATCCCAGGGGACCAAGAATTGAATAAAGATGTGAGGGCAGCAGCAAGAGAAAAAAAAAATATCTAATTGGGGAGGTAAAGAGACATCAAAGATGAAATACAGTCACTTCACAGTAGGACCTGGGGACAGCCCTGTTTGACTCAATCAAATCCATTCCTTACTAGCTTTTCCTACAGAAAATCAGAATCTATTCACAAGATCCACAGGATCTATGAATATCACTTCATTGATGGCCTTTCTTTCTACAGGCTTGTTTCTTCACCTTTCTCCAGAAGAGGTGTCTGCTCTGTGATCATGTGACATTAATACCACTTCAGTATGCAATAATAAAAAGTAATAATCATAATAGCAGACAGTTACATAGTCCTGACTGTGTGCCAGGCATGTAAAGTGCTTCACTCACCTGTTGAATTCATATTAACCTCGTTAGTCCTCATGCCCTTCACCTCCACTCAACTCTCTACTGATGAGCTGACAGCATGGCCTGGGAATTAATAGTATTGCACTACCTGTCATGGAATATTTTTCTGTAATTATTCTTGAGGTCTCAAGACTTATGAGGAGACAGGTGCCACCCCTTAATGGCAATGAGCTATCATAAAAGAAGTGATCATTCCAACATGTAGTTGAGAAAGGGTTTGCTTTGATGAGCAAGAGCTGGGAGCCCACACACTCCTCAATTCCTGCCCATGATAAAGAGTGAAACAGAGAGTGGACATCTATAGTTGGGTTTTATCTTTTTCTGGCTTTGCCTATCCCTTTCTGTGGCTAGATTCACCATCAGCTGAGCCACTTAACATGCTACTGGACAAAAGAACAGAAAAAGTTGGCAGCAGAAACAGGTTGTGTGGAGTGTCTGTGTGTGTGTGTGTGTGTGTGTGTGTGTGTGTGTGTGTGATAAGCCTGTGTTAATATAAATGCCTATACAGGCCGGGCACACTGGCTCATGCCTGTAATCTCAGCACTCTGGAAGGCTGAAGTGGGCGGATCACCTGAGGCCAGGAGTTCGATACCAGCCTGGCCAACATGGCGAAACCCCATCTCTACTAAAAAATGCAAAAAGTAGCCGGTTGTGGTAGCAGGCGCCTGTGGTCCCAGCTACTTGGGAGGCTGACGCAGGAGAATCACTTGAACCAGGGAGGCAGAGGCTGCAGTGAGCCGAGATCCTGCCACTGCACTCCAGCCTGGGAGATAAGAGTGAGCCTCTATCTCAAAAAAAAAAAAAGCCTATACAGAAGACATAAGTTTGCAAAATAATAGAAAAACTGCATTTCTTCAAAGTGTACTCAACAATCGGATAACAGTTTCATCTACTTGACTGGTAAAAAAAAAAAAGTCTGATAACATCCAATGCTGATGAGGATGTGGAGGGTCAGGCATTGTACTACATGGCTGGCAGAGGCATACATTGCTATAACCTGTTTTGGAAAGTAATCTGATGTTATCTATCAAAAATTTAAATGTGCATATCTCTTGGCCCAGGATTTCACTTTTAGTACTCTATTCAACTATAATAAAAGCAGTGGTATGTAAAGATATATGTACATGGATATCAAATGAAGCTTTTTTAAGCAAAAAAAGAGAAGTAAATGATGAAAACAGCCTGAATCTCCATCAATAGGTATTGATGAAATAAATTAAGGTGCATCTATGCTATAGAATATTGTGAAGCTGTTAAAATGATATGATATTCTGTTAAGTGAAAAAAACAAGTTATAGATAATGTGTATAGTATAATTCCATTTAGTTTAAAAACAGTGAAAACAAACAAACTGAAACACCTAGATATGCTATGCAAATCTGTACATGAAAAAGGCACAAAAGGATTTACATTAAATCCTTAATATTGATTATTCTGTGGAAATAATATTGGACATGGATGAGGAGAAGGCCATAAACTTTTTAAACTATACCTTTGTAATTCAACTTACTGTAACCATCATGTATTACTTTTCAAATTTAAAAATCCAATAAAATCAATTGGTAAGAAACAAAGTGATATTCTCAGACAACTTGAGAGGATATTTATCAGAAAGCCGAATGCCCCCCTACCCAGAAGATAATCCCAGATAGAATAAAGAACCTTTCTGTTAAAGTTTCTCAAATGGAAATGCCCTCCCTGCTCTTCAAATAAAGTGATGTATTTTATATTCCTGTATTCCTCTAATTTCTCTAATAATCAAAACATTCTGTACAACTTGATGCTGAAAACATTGTCAACCAAACCCAGAATCCAGAAGTAAGGTTCTCCCAGCTGCCAATCATACAAGGCAGGAATGTGGGTGAGAGAGAAGCATGCCAATGTCTCGCAGCAGCACCTGCCAGCCCTTGGTCACGAACCAGCAATAACTTGGAAAACATAGGCCAACATCCAAACACACTCATTTGCTCTACAGGTATTTACTCAGCACCTCCCTGTTCCAGATCCATGCTAGGCGCTGACTACACCCTTGGTTGCTCCTTTTAGCATCTGTCATGCAGGCATGGAGGACACTGAGCATATATCCTCTTCAGAAAAGTTCCTAAAATACTTGAATACTGTAATGAAAACACCCCCTTTGCCTTGTCTCCTCGAAGCTAAAAAATATTAATTCACAGATCTCCAAATACAAAAACAGGCCAAGGTAATTCGTTCCAGCCCTTTCCTGAAACCCAAATCTCCTCACGACAACCTCTTCCTGAACACTTCCCTCCAGATGGAGAATAGTAAGAGTGCAGGAGTGAGGAGATATTTACATGCTGGTCAAGGAGATGCAGCATTTTTTCCACTTTTTAATCTATCAAGTATTAAGTAAAAAGGACATTCAATAAAATAAATAATTGCTGGTGAAAGTTGCTGAATGAGGTTTTTCCTAGAGCACAGAAGGTTGAGCTCCTCCTAATTCAGAAAATAGCATTAAGGTCTGTGGTTTTGATAGGACTCTGGAGGACATGCAGACACGCTGCAGAGCTCTTGACCCATCATGGCTTCAATTTCACTTTTCTCAGCTTTCTTAAGCTCTCCACATCTGTTTTAAGGAGTGCCCCAATCCACATGCAATTCTCTGATAAGATCCCTGATGAAAATATCAAATCTAACTCCACATTAGGAATGTTGCTAATAATAAAACTGAGATTTTTTTCAGTATAAAATGGCAAAAATTTCAAAATAAATTATATTCAACCCTAATCAAGGAGCAAAAATTGGAAGTACTTTCAGACTTTGCTCATGAGAATATAAATTGTATAATCTTTCTAGAAAGCAATTTAGCCATGTAGACCAAGAGCTTATGCCCTTTGAGACAGTAATTACCGAGCAAGAAATGTAGCCTAAGGAAATAATCAGAGATGAGCAAGAGTATATATTTATAACAATATTCACTATAGAATATTAGTAAAAGTTATTTAAAACAACCCACAAGTCCAGAAATAGATTAATCACATAAATTACCATATAGCCATAGGATAGGATATTATGCAACTATTAAAAATACCATTTTGAAGAATATTTCATGACAAGGGAAATGGCCAAAATACAGTTAATTTTAAAACTTTAGGTTATAATTGTATCAACATTATGATCCCAGCTTAAAAAATATATATATACATACTTACATTTGATAAAAGATTACATACATACCACAATATCAGCAATTGTTCTCTGTGAAAAATGGTGTCACAAGTTATTTTTTATTCTTTTAAAACTTTTCTATCTTTTCTAAATTTTCTTCAGGAAGCAAATTATTATTCATATTTATATGTCTATCTAGATAGACATATGCATACATATGTATATTCAAAGCCTGTCCTCCTGCTCATCTAACTGAAGGAAAACTTCATACTATTCTACATGGTTCCAGAAGTAGCTTGTGTGGCTTTATAAATAATATGTTGGACCAAAAAACTAATATTCATCCAAACACACTCACAATGAGGCAAGGCCAGTGGTGCTTCTGCCGTTCCAAAGCTAAAGCAGAAAACTGCCTGAATCCGAGCCACTTACATGCCTGGGTTTCACCCAGTTCTAAAATCTCCAGGCTACTTGTTTCTACTTAACCCTTCTCATGTTACTTCTTGAGAAAGTCTCTACCACAGAGACAGCAAAGGCAGGGAAAGAGGTTGAGAGCAAATTACAGCAGTAGTAGTTTGGCTGCATGTTATCAGCTCCCCTCCAAAGATTTAGAAGGGGTATGGAACTAATGCCTAAAATGGGATTTAGAGATCCCTGTGGACTTTAATAATTCATGCTACACCAGCACCCAGGGAAAGCTGGAAGCTACTTTAAGAATCAAAGTACATACAACAATGTGCCAAAAGCCCCGTGCAGATGATGGTGTCAGATTCCCCAGATGTGCATGAGGCCCAAAATCAATCCTCCAAAAGGCTGATCATTTCTTTTAAAAGAACACTAAATGCCTCAAGTCCTTTCAGGAAGTAATAGAGAAAAGGGCCAAATCACAACAAAAAATGCATCATTTCTGAAAGAAAAAATTCTGTAGAGTCTGTGAGTTCTACTGATAATGGGGTCCCTAAATACTTCAGACTAAGTAACAGATGACCACAACAGTGTGTGTGTGCACATTTGTATGTGTATGTACACACATATGTGTGTATGTAGGGATGTGTTTGGGTAGAAGTGTAGGTATATCTGTACAAGTGAGTGTGTGGGGGGTTGTATAGAGCATGTGAGTAGATGTGAGTGTGTATATACATGTGGGTGTGTAAGGGTGGTATGGTAGGAGAACGGAGGGAATAAAGTAGGAAATAATAGGAACAGAGAATGGATATAAAACACAGCCCTAAATGAACTAAAAGGAATCAACATCTTTTAGACGACTATGGAAAATGTGATTAAATTAAAGGGAAACTAATATTTTAAATGCCACGAACCTCACCAATGTGATAACATATTTAGTTTAGAGAAGTTCCAATGTATTGCAAAACAAGGAACATCCTCATAATGACCATTTAGGAAATTAAATGACAGTCCATACTATCCCTAGTCCCACCCAGCTGAACTTCCAGAAAACCTTCGATCAATGCCTGACCCATTCCAATGAAGTCTGATAATGTATCTGGAGCTCTGTCCCCACCAATAAGAGGATCTGGAGAGTGAGAGCTGCTGGCGTCAGCCTGGTCTAACCTCCTGGGCATGCACATGAATCGACACACACACATACACACACACACACACACACACACACAGAGCTGCAGGCTCCACCACTTCCCCACCCATCTACATGACCACCACACATGACTGCTTGCCTGCCTCAGTTTCTTGTATGATTCTGCCTTGCTTGGTTCCATCCATCCATCCATTCACCCATCCATCTGTCCATCCATTTATCCATCCATCCATTGACCCATCCAGCTATCCATCCGACATTTATTAAGAGCATTCTATGTGCTATTCTACTGGTCTCTCATCTACATACCCAGCCTGCTCAGTTGGGCATAAACATTTTGATTAATTCTTGTCAACCCTCCTCCCCAAACCTAAATATTGAACTTTGATCCCCACATCCCTGGCCCCCAGGCACTTGCTTAGGTACTGCCTCAAACAGTTCCCATGCAACTATGCAGGGGAAGCCTCTCCCAGAGGCCCTGGCTGCCACATACAGATGCTCCTCGACTTACGTGGGGATACATCTCCATAAACCCATTGAAAGCTAAAAATATCATAAGTCAGCTGGGCACAGTGGTTCATACCTGTTATCTCAGCTACTTGGGAGACTGAGGTAGGAGGATCACTTGAGGCCAGGATGTCAAGACCAGCCTGGGCAACACAGGAAGACCTCATTTATTTTTAAAAAAAAATTTTTTAATTAGCTGGACATGATGTCTCACTCATGAAGTCCCAGCTACTCAGTAGGTTGAGACAGGAGGATTACTTGAACCCAGGAGTTTGAGATTACAGTAAGCCATAATCATGTCACTTCACTCTAGCCTAGGCAACAGAGCAAGACCCCATTAAAATATATATGTATATGTAAATGTACATATGTATATGTGTGTGTGTGTGTGTGTGTGTGTGTGTGTATATATATATATAGTCCAAAATGCACTTAACACCTCTAACCTGCCAAACATCATACATTAGTTTAGCTTACCTTAAACGTGCTCAGAACACTTACATTAACCTACAGTAAGGCAAAATCATCTGGCAACACAGCACACTATACAGTATCAGTTATTTACCCTCATGATTATATGGCTGATTGGGAACTATGGCTCAGTGCCACCACTCGGCACCAGAAGAGAGTACTGCACCACACATATGGACAGCCCAGGAAGAGATCAAAATTCAAAGTATAGTTTCTACTGAACAAGTATTGTTTTTCACAACCTCAAAGTTGAACAATCATAAGTCAAACAATGATAAGTCAGGAACCATCTGTATATCCCACCACCCTACCCCACCACACACACACACACACACACACACACACACACACATACACACACCCCAAGATCTGGTCCCTGGCACATCAATCCAAGGTGAGCTATCTTTCCGTATGCCATTTCCACCATGAATTTTACTTCTGGCTACAACCCCACACCCACCCCACACATATATGTTCATCCCCTAGCACTGGTTCTACGTATCCTTGCTCCTTAGCTTCCCCTCTCATATCTCTTGTAATTCTGATAGGCCTCACATCCAAGGTACACATTACACAAAAAAAGTACTAAGATTGTGTTTCTTTGGTCAAAATTAACATAAATAATACTTTGGGCGGCCGGGCGTGGTGGCTCATGCCTGTAATCCTAGCTCTTTGGGAGGCCGAGGTGGGCAGATCACTTGAGGTTAGGCATTCAAGACCAGCCTGACCGACATGGCAAAACCCCGTCTCTACTAAAAATACCAAAATTAGCCGGGCATGGTGTTGCACTCCTGTAATCCCAGCTACTCAGGAGGCTGAGGCAGGAGAATCTCTTGAACCCGGGAGGCGGAGGTTGTAGTGAGCCAAGATTGCACCACTGCACTCCAGCCTGGGTGACAGAGCAAGACCCTGTCTCAAAAATAAAAAATAATAATAATAATAATACTTCGGAAAGCACTAGACTCACAAAGTATTTGTTGACATTTTCATTTTCCCAGTCTTGAATTTTTTAGCTCTACTAGTTTTGCTTTTTTTTTTTAATTTAAGACGGAGTCTTGCTCTGTCGCCCAGGCTGGAGTGCAGTGGCACAATCTTGGCTCACTGCAACCTCCGCCTCCTGTGTTCAAGAGATTCTCCTGCCTCAGCCTCCTGAGTAGCCAGGATTACAGGTGCATGCCACCATGCCCAGGTAATTTTTCTATTTTTAGTAGAGATGGGGTTTTGCCATATTGGCCAGGCTGGTCTCGAACTCCTGACTTTGTGATCCACCCGCCTTGGCCTCCCAAAGTGCTGGGATTACAGACGTGAGCCACTGCATCCGGCTGCTCTGCTACTCTTAGTGAATGATCTATAGCCACTCTGTTAGAACAGGAGGAAAGAGTGGCTTGAATGCAAATGGCACAGAATCCTATGTACTTACAGTTACATGTGCAACATCGAAAAACAGTTTAGACTCAGAGCATCTGAAACAGCCAGTGAGTTCATCAGCGTCAGCCCACCGTAGTTGATGTAGCTGGATATACCAGAAAGTGGGGAGCCCCCATTGCCCAAAGGAAATTAAGGAAGACCAGCAAAGCAAGGGCACTAGGTGGAATTCAAGCCCTATTTCAGCAACAAATCTTAAGTCCCACTATGTAAGCAGATGGAAGAAAAGCGCTAGCATAAAAACATCGCAGGACCTATGTCAGCACTGCTAAGAACATAGTCTGGGCAAGACAGCAGGTGAGAAGCCCAGTCTCTCTTCCACCCCAAAGTATCCTGAGTACAGAGAACCAACCCTAGCCCTGTACACCATGCCTGGTGTCTCCATAAAGCACACCCAAGACGAAAGCATTGGTCTAGAATTCTCCACTGTGCTACCCCACTGCCCACCCAGCCCCAGTAAGCCCCAAAACCTGAAGAAGAGTGTAGGGCTTGCCTTTGATCAGCCGTTCGGGTCTTGTCCCTGGTAAGGTCCACATTGCCTGTGCCAAGTGTCCAAAGACAGTGGCGTCAAGAGTGGAAAGCTTGGGCCCCATGATGTACTTCTTATCACCTGCAGTAAATAAAGCAGAGAAGTCAATGGGCTGGCCCACACTGCCCCACATCATCACAATGGCATTTAGCACATTCTATTACATATTCCTTTACTGATACCAAAAAGCTTTGCAGAATCGAAATACATGCACACCCTTTTGCTTAAAAAAAAATAGAACAAAAGTAAAATGAATTAAGCAATCATGTGATACATCAACCCATAGAACAGCAACACAGGGAACATACCAAAATAAGCAGATGAGGAAGGGCATTCATGGAAAAAAGGGAGAACTGATCACCACCAGACCTCTGGGAACCTTCTTGTCTCAAACTCAAGTAAAGCCTGTGATGCTTAAGAACACCTGGAAGTTTGCTTAAATCATCTCAAAAGTAACCCAAAGCAAGCAAAGCCAACATCAGCACTTACATTATTAATTTAAATATATTTCCCCAGGAAAAACAAGAAGCCTAAGCTCCTTAAGAGGTTTGGAGGTGAGGTTTCCCATGACGCTACATGGTCCTGGCAAAGTTCTCACCTCTGAGGATCAGCTTCCATGGAAAACAATAAGTAAAGAGTAGCTATGAGGTCACAGGCTCAGCCCTGGCATCACGATCCCATGAAAGGATGTTTCACACTACTGCTCCCATCTCTCCATTTCACACTACTGACTTCATCCAGGCCTTGTCACCGGACTATCACACTCAACCTATTAAAACTGACCCAAGTCATCTCCCAGGCTACTGTTAGACACTACTGCATATGGAGGGAGCACTAGGGGAGATGGAGCTGCCTAGCTCACATCCTGGCATCACCGTTATTCACTGTGGGAATCTGATCATCACGTAACCTCTACAGCCTCAGTTTTCCCATCTGGAAATGGGGATGAAACTAAGAGTTTCTATTTCTTTGGGCTATTGTGAGGACAAAATGACATAATGTACATTAGCACTCATGACAGCCCCTACCTTTCTCCAGTCCTTTCCACATCCCACCTGACACTATCAACTTCCTAAGACTTTTTTTTGAGACAGTCTCACTCTATTGCCCAGGCTGGAGTGCAGTGGCATTATCTCGGCTCACTGCAAGCTCCACCTCCCAGGTTCAAGTGAGTCTCCTGCCTCAGTCTCCCAAGTAGCTGGGATCACAGGCAGCCACCACCACGCCTGGCTAATTTTTGTATTTTTAGTAGAGACAGGGTTTCGCCATGTTGGCCATGCTGATCTTGAACTCCTGACCTCAAGTGATCTGCCCACCTTGGCCTCCCAAAGTGCTGGGAATACAGGCATGAGCCACTGCGCCCGGCCCTAAGACACTCTTTTAATCATGTCACTCCCTTTCAAACACCTTCCATGGCTTTTGAAATGAGTTATAAAATGAAGTCCAAACTCAACTTAGAACTTAAAGTGCATTATACATTGCCTCCAACCCATGTTCCAGCTGTATCCTTCATTCCTCCCTTATCCTAGCAAACCTGGGGACCACCCCCATTCCCCAGCACAATTTATGCCTCCAACTGCTACACCTTTGCTCATGCTGTGCACCCTCTCTCTGCCCCCACAACTTATATGTGCTCACCACTTCTCTCGAATCAATTCTATCCATCCGTCAAGGTCCAGCTCCAGCCTGCTTTCAAAGCTTTCTGGTGGCAACAGGAGCTTTCAGTTCATACAGTCCTGTGTTTACATCTCCCTTTTGCACATACAACCTTATAGGACTTTAAGGCATTTAATGCCTATTAACCTTCTGAACTATAAAATGAGAAGAATAACTGAGGTGACTTGAGCAGAGCACACAGCAGATATATCCTGCCTCTTGTCTCTCAGGCTTCTTGAGTGACATTTTTCCCATAATGCTCTATACACAGTGTGTGTGTGTGTGTGTGTGTGTGTGTGTGTGTGTGTGTGTGTGTGTCTGTGTGTGTGTGTGTGTGTGTGCATTTTATCTTTCCAGCTAAATTGTTAGCTCTTTGAAAGTAAGGGTCAATTCTTGCTTTTATTTAGCAAACCCTTATACCACATTTACTACATGCCTGGCCTGGTTCTACATGCTGTACTCTAGGAATATCTACCCCTTTCACCGTTCTTGAGTGACAAGCTGAGGAAACTGAGTATCTGATGACAATGCACAGGAAAGACAGGAGGGGGAAATGGCTGGAGGTGGGAACACAAGGTAACAACTGTTACAGCACAAATGAAGCAGAAAGTGATTTTTAAAAATCATTTCCCCTATATATGCCATAGAGACCAAGAAATACCCTACAGTAGGGCAATATGCTGAACCTAACCAAATTGCCTTTTCTGGCAAGGACAATCAAGTCATTCACATTAGAGTTCTTAGCTATTTCCTATTGTCAACCAACTTCTCCATCATTTGAGTCTTACACCATTATCCAAATACTGGGGGGAATCCAGAGAAAGTACCAACCGGACAGAAATAATAAGGAAAAATCAGATACCATAAGAAGCAACTCCTAAGGTGTTACTCCTGAGGGTGCATCCCGCTGGCGCCATGCCTCCACCGCACCCCTGCTGGCATTAAGTGAACGCAGGCAGGCAGAGGGAAACTGCACAGGAGCTCTCCTGCCATCCTGCTAGGGCAGGAGGGGGTGTTGGCCAGGTGGCCAAACAGTCCTCCCTGTGGGATTGTACCAGGCTCAACCCATTCAAAGTCCAAACACAGGTCTACCCACACACTGGAAGCCATGAGAGGGCTTCAGGACCACTATGAGAAGGGCTATTCACAGCCTCAGAGAGAAGAAAACAGGATTTTTGTTGTGTGTGTGTGTTTTTTTAAGAGCAACAATGGCTTCATGGTCAAAAAAAGAGGGGGAGGGGGAGAAAGAAAATGTTGCTGTCCTTGAATTACTCAAAAGGACTCTAAGGGAAATGCCAGAGTCAAGTCCATAAATTTTGAAGTCTTGTAGAATCCAAAGACTGAAGGCAAAATGTGAAACATAAATATGAATAAAAATTTGGAAAACCTAGAAATAGAACACACAGGACTTTGACAAAAAGAAAAAATGATTAAAAAAATCATTTGAACCCACACATCAAATAGCGCATATAATGTCTGGCCAAAATTCGCCATCTGGCTTCGAAATGTTAAAACTGGAAGGACACTGAGTTAGTGACTAAGGAACAAGGTTGAGAATGCTACCAGGTCTCCTGACTTCTGGCCGATGCTCTCGGTCTCCACAATGTGCCACATGGACCTTAATCTCAGAGATAAAGACCATATGGAAGAGCAGGAGGGCTGAGCTGTGAAAGTTTACAAAAGGATGCTTTTGTCAGGAAGGAACACAGAACGCAAAAGGGAAAAGAGAACAGAAATCAGGTGTTTTCAAAGGTGCCTGCAAAAATATAGGTGGAATTTAGTATCTGTGGAAAATGCTGAGTGGCAGATCTAAAATTATATATGTGTACACACATACAGGACAGTTATGAATGTAAAGAATATAAAAATTCCCATCATTCAAAAGTCCTCATAATACCTGATGGCAGAAAGCCTTTTTAAATTTTTATTTTAAAATAATTTTAGATTTACAGAAATGTTGCAAAAATAGCACAGTGTGTCTGTGTGGGTGTTTCTGGATGAGATTAGCATGTGAATTAGTGGACTGAGTAAAGCAGATTGTCCTCCCTAAGGTGGGTGGGCCTCATCCAATCAGTTGAAGGCCTGAATAGAACAAAAAGGCTGACCCCTCACCTGAGTAACGACGACAGATTTCCTTCTGCCTAACTGCCTTCAAACTGGGACACTGGTCCCTCCTAGGTCTCCAGCTTGCCAGCTCATCCTGCAGATCTTGGGACTTGTCAGCTTCCATAATTGTGTGAGCCAACTCCATATAATAAATCCTAATGGTTCGGTTTCTCTGAAGAATCCTGACTAATACACCTTCGCAGGGCATCATATCAGGGAGCATATAATGTCCTATATCTTATGACTGTGATATTAACCGTAACCATGTGGTAAAGGTGGTATCTGCTAGATTTTTCACTATAAAGTTAAGATTTATTCCTTTGTAACTAATAATCTTGACAGAGACACTTTGAGACTTTATAAATATCCTGTTTCTCCTCAAACTTTGGCCTGCTAATTTTAGTGTCCATTGGTGGATGTTATCTGAAGCAAATATTACTGTAGTGTTTGCTTCATTGTGAGTTTCAATTTCTCTCATTCTTTGTATTGATTAGAATTCTACTGTCCTTTCTTTCCCATTTCCTAATGTATTCAATTATTTATTTATGTAAGTATGCACTAATGGATATTTATTTTATTCTATAGGTTATAATCCAATACTCTCATTATTTTGTTGCTCAAATTGTTCCAGCTTTGGCCTTTGGGAGCTTGGCAAAAAAAACATTTTTAAAAGGAAATCAAATAAGAGTTGACTCTGCTTAGAGACAAAGAGGCCAAGTTAAAGGCTTCGGACTGCAGCACTCTTGGGGTTTGCAAAGTGGCCCTGGATCTCACGACCAGGGGGTTTTGGCAAAAGCAGAACACTCAGGACACTTGTGAAGGGCACTGAGGGAGGAGACTTGGGTGGTGAGGCACTGTGAGCTTCATTTTTGGCAGGTGAACCATCCGGTGACTTCCATAGGATGGACAGAAGCAGCTGAGGGATATGTGGGCACCTGTAACTCCCCTGCCAGCCTCCGAGCTCAGAATGTGAACTGTGAACCATCAGTGAGGGAAAATGAAGGTTGAAAACATCAAAGCCCCGGGTGTGAAGGGACCTAGGGTACATCAGACCTTCTAAAGTATGCTCCACCTGAGGCCAGCTTCTAAGCACCCAGAACACCTCCCCAAGGGTGCAGAGCCCTCCTGACGATGAGGGTGAGTCCACATCCTGATAGTAGCAAAGTGACTTCAGGTTCCCGCAGTGACCCGACAGACCTCATGGCTTGGTCTTCAAGTGGCAATCAGAGAGCACAGACCAGGGATAAAATACAAGGACAGTGACCATGCAGCCAGAGGGAGGAGCCAAGTGGATCTGGAGAAGGAGAGCCCATAGGGGGAGTAGCAGGGGCTGGTTCTACTGTGGGGCTGGAAAATGACAGTTGGCCCTGGATATCTGTAAAATTTCATATGACCTCTCCTGGGTGGTTTAGGCAGCTCCTCTCTGTGAGGAAGGCCATATTGTAGATGAAGGAACCACTGGGGCACCCAAGGATGACCAAAAACTGAGTGGAAGTACTAAACCATGAATAACAAGAATGTTAAGGGGTCCTGATGGATATCAGCTCTCTTACCCAGACTTGAGTTCACTGTGATTGGACTTTGTCATGGATCATTGGTTATAAGCCTTTAGTGAACTTGATTAACCCAAGGCTGCTTATCCTGACTGCCAAGCTTGACCAGCCCTTCCCACATTGTCTTCCACTTCTGTCATGGGCAGCCACAGAGGGTTGACCAGGAGATAAGGGACACAGCAAAGACAAGAGTATGTGGAGGAGGACTGAGCATGTAGACTAGGTCCCTCACCCCCACTGAGTACTAACTGAGCGGATGGCTGGATGAGCAGAGCAGGGAGAACAATAGAGGACAAAGACACACAGTTGTCCAGGGAGAATGGAAGCAATATTGAGTCTGAGAAGAATGGCCAGAATCCAGGCCTGAAGACTTAGGCCAAATTGAGGGAACAAGCAAGCTGCAAAGCTGAAGCGAGCTGAACTTGATGAGCAAGGGAACCAAGAGAATAGGAGGGGACAAGCAGAGAGCCACATGCCCCTGAAAGTTCCAGTGGGGGAGGGGGTGCCATACGCAGCATAACTGAGGAAGTGCTCACAATCCTAGGCTGTTTGCTCACTGCCTGGCTCTGAGCCGCCCCCTTGGGGAGGATGTATGAGAGCTGACAGTGTGTGATGCTCTCCAGACCTGGGCAGGACAAACCGAGCTCTACCTCCTATGAATGGTCTACTTCAGTCAAACATGCAGGTGCTCATCCTATCCTCCCTGCCCCAAATAACTCCGGCTATCTAAGCCTGACCTTTCCATTAGGACTCAGACCAAGTCCTACCTCCTCCACTGCATGAAGGCTTCCCACACGGTCCCAGTCTACTGGAACCTCTCATTGTCCACGCCTCTGTTAAATCCCAGAGGGGCGAATTGCTTAGAGCGAGGCTACTGAGAGAGTAGTCTAGCAGCACCAGCAGCACCTGAGTGTTAGTTAGACATTCTTAGATCCCATCACTGAATCAGAATACTTGGGAATGGGACTAGAGAACCTGTGTTTAACAAGCTTTCGGGTCAGGGTTTCTCAAACTTTAGAGGTATTAAAATCACCAGGATAGTCTGCAGTTCTTGGACCAGACTGTGAATAGCACTGTTCCAGGTGATTCTTGTGCACACTGAAGCTTAAGAAGTACTGGGCTAGAGTATATCATTGGTCTTAAACTTGAGCATGTAGTATAATCACCTGGAAGGCTTTTTTTTTTTTTTCTTTTTTAGTGGAGATGAGACCTCGTTATGTTCCCCAGGATGGTTTTGAACTCCTGGGCTCAAGTGATCCTGCCGCCTTGTCCTCCAAAGTGCTGGGATTCCAGGCATACAGCACCACACCTGGCCTTGAAAGCTTTTTAAAAACACTAACTCAAGTCCCTGATCCCAGGAGTTTCTGATTCAGTAGGTACAGAGTGAGATCCAAGAATCTGCATTTCTAACAAGAGCCCAAGTAATGCTGATACTGCTGCTCCAGGGAGCACACTTTGAGAACCACTGGTCTAGCTCACACATTAGGTAAATCACACAGCCATCTTGCAGTCTTACCTACGTGTAGGTCCTATCTCCTCAAATAATTTTTAAGCACCTTGAGGGCAAGTAAACTTCTATTTTACTTTTCTGTCCATCTGGTACCTATCACATAGGAACCATCAATTAAGGTTATGATAGCCTTAATTATGTTTGATCTCTGTCCTTTCTCAAAATGGAGAGCTATAATAGTGATTAAAAAGTATAATAATGTGAAAGCATTTTGCAAGCTAGGAGGTGCTATTCTAACATAAGGAATTCTTTTATACTCATTTCCAACAATCAAAACAAGTAATGTGGACAGAACCAGTTCAACCTCTCTCCAAGTGTAGGAATCCCTTCTCACACTTTCCTACCAGATACTCCCCATCCCCAACCCCAACCCTGCTGAAACTTCTCTCCCATAATTTACTGGGTAGGGCAGACTATTCTGTGCTTAGATGGTTCCTTATACTGAAACAAAATGGTCTCCTTAGAACTTCCACCATGCATCTCAGTTCTTTCCTCTGGAATTCACAAAAAAAAATTATGGCCATATTTATTCTACCACAGCACCCATTCCTAGTCTCCACTAACATACTTCTAAGGAAAAACTGATCACCTGTTTTCATATATATCATTATGAGATGGTGGACAGAAAGTTTATTTCAGACCACTGGAAACACTACAGAAATGAACTTCTGAATCTCATCTCCTTCCTCCCTAATTCTTTTCCCACTTCCCACTGGTCACTGTCAGCTCCACTTCCACAATTTAGCTAAATTTCCAAACTCTATAAGTGACAAAAGAGACAAGACTGGCTGTGCTATAAAATATAAGTTCAAGGGAGAAACTAAAGAGAATAATCAAAAGATTTTCCAAGACTCATTTCCCTATGAGTCTAAGACATAAAGTACAATTGTGTGTTTTACATAGGGCTCCCTATACCTGAGCACTCATGTGATTTATAAGCAGGCAATTATAGTAAAATCAATGTGGACATTATTCATACTTCTAATTGTCCCTCTCTCACCTTTCATTAACTAGAAATTGAAGAAAAATTAAGAAACAAAGATTTTGAGTGCTTTTCCCAATGAAACAGGAGGTCACGGTAATCTCACTATCCAAGCATCAAAGAGCACACACTTAAATGCACACACTTAAAACTTTTTTTCTGCAAGTGAATCTCCCAGAGGGCAAAGCTACAGGAAAAATAAAATCTACTCCCTATTCTCTTACACTCCTGATCAGACCCCACTTTGTCAGAAATAATATGTAAGACAAGCCACTTCCTTCACAAAGCCCTTGTTTTCATACTACAAGCATACTCTAAAATCACTATATAGATTGTGATTAGCTCACGATCGCCAATTAGCTCACATTCTGGGAAAAAATAAAGGTGGGTGGAGAAAATACCAGAAGAAGCTCCTTAATTTAATCCCTCTTCAGATTTCATTCTAGAAAGCAACTAGATACTCCTTTAATTTTTAATAAGATTTTCTGAAAGAACACACAAAAATTTATCTCTTTCCGGCTCATATGAACTATCTCGACACCTTCCTCACTGGCCACCAATACCACCATCACTCTGTCTCTTTGCTGATGTCCCAGCTCTTATAATTCCTTATGGATGAAAGCAGGAAGGACATAAATCCCCGACTCTAAGCAAAGGGTTGTGTATCCTCCTCTGTACTTTGGTCCTCTATTAATGTGTCTGAACACCTTCTGAACTCTGGACACTCAGAGAATCCATGGGCATACTTTATAATTTTAGGAAACTTGGATGAAAGATTTGCACCAGTGTGGAAAGACTTTACACATCTAAATTAGGAAAGTATTCCTCAGGATGAGGCAAATGCCTACTCAGGCTCACTTACAATTTAGCATCACTAAACAGCTCCCGGAAGTCTTAAAGATCTACAGCTAACATCTCCAACAAAGATATCAGTTTTACCAACTCACTGATGATCAGCCTTCCTGGTTCTCTCCCTTCTTGAAGCTGCTACAATATTGTTGCTTCTGAGTGACTGCACAGTCAGCTGAAATGGTGAGATTTGAGGGCTATAAAAATTATATGAGTCTCTCTCCCCAGTATCACTTTCCCAAATACATCTTCTGAGGATAAAGAAAATATATCACTCAATTCAAACTGCATTCCAGGACAGGCTTTCCCATCAATTTCATTTCTGTCTCATCTGCCCTGTGCTGGGCAATCAAAGGAACCAGCTGTTCTATCTCTTTATTCAATAAAGACTATCTGGTAGCCACCAAATTCTGGTTAACGAAACACCACATCAGAAAGAACACAATGTCATGTTGAAATTTAAGTTCAAATCCTTTTATAAGGAACTCGCCCATCTTTTGAGAAAGCTGAATAGCAGCAGATCCTAGTGGGAGGTTTTGTGTTTGGCCCTCGGGGCCAGAAAAGCTCAACTCTGCAGGCAGACTCCACATTCCTGAAGGACTTTTCTTCATTTTATGGATTTTAGGCTTCACCTTAGCTGGAATCCAGGATACTCAACCACTTTCAAACATGTACATAATCACCAAAAACTGGTAAAAATCTTTAACCACCAGCACTGTTTAGGTCCTGCCCAGAGTGGTGAGCCTTGCTCAGATCAACTCTCTAGGCACGGATCCCTTAGGAGGAAACCAAATTGTGTTCGACCTTATATTTAAACATGGAAATCCTAAACCTTCTCAAACCATACACTCATCAGTATGCTGGACATCATGTCAAAACTCTTTGTGATGCTTCTCTTCAAGTGCAGGAGTGAATCTCTATCTTCTACTCTGTGGGAGACCACGTTACTCCTCTACCGAATGTGCTTGTCTCTGTGCCCTGACAATTCAATGGTTAAGAATGGCCACAGGCATTGCATGCTTGTATCAAAACATCTCATGTACCTCATAAATATATATGCCTACTATGTACCCACAAAAATTAAAAATCAAAAAATTTTAAGAAGAAAACAAAGTGAATAAAAACCAGGATGGCCACAGAACTTTCTCCAGTGCATACTTCTTTCTCAAAGATCACTGAAGCCAGAAACAGAAACCTCTTGTGTGCCAAGCTCTGTAATCTTGGAATAGATCCTGGTTTCTTCACAGCCAAGATGAGAATCCTCCTGCTAAAATCAGAATGGCTAATAATAATAGTCCCTGGAGAGACTGAAAGATAAGATTCTACTTCTACAAGATGTAAAACCTTTTATCTAAATAAATAACTTGAGGCAACTGAGATCGGGTACTTGCCACCCACCATAGCAGGATAAGCTATGACAACCTCTTCTGACAACCTGGCTTTACTCTGCACAGCCCAGCAGCAGCTGAAAGAAGTACCTACTGGGATTAATAGGATTGGGGCTATGTAGGTATATTAGTTATTGCTGTCTGCATAATAAGTTACCCCCAAATTTTGCAGCTTAGCAACAGACATGTATTATCTTGCAGTTTCTGTGGGTCAAGAAACCAGATAGCCTTAGCTGAGTGCCTCTGCTGGGTGCCTCTGCTCAAGGTGTCTCACAGGCTGCAATGAAGATGCCAGCCCTTTGCAGTTATCTCAAGGGTTGACTTGGGGAGGATCTCCTTCCAAACTCACTCACACGGTTGTTAGTACATCTCAGGTCCTCACTGGCTCATGGCCAAAGATATTCATTTCTTGCCACATGGACCTCTCCATAGATCAGTTCACCTCAGAGCTGGCTTCTGTCAGAGCAAACAAGTGAGAGGGCAAGAGGAAGAAAGAAAGATGCCTAAGATAGAAGCCACATTCATTTTGTTATTGAATGTTGGGTCATCCCAATGCTTCTGCCACATTCTTCTTGTTAAAAGCAAATCACGGCCACGCGCAGTGGCTCACACCTGTAATCCCAGCACTTTGGGAGGCCGAGATGGGCAGATCACTTGAGGTCAGGGGCTCAAGACCAGCCTGGCCAACATGGTGAAACCCTGTCTTTACCAAAAATACAAAAATTAGCTGGGCGTGGTGGCGCATGCCTGTGGTCCCAGCTACTCAGGAGGCTGAGGCAGGAGAATCACTTGAACCCAGGAGGCAGAAGTTGCAGTGAGCCAAGATCACACCACTGCACTACAGCCTGGTTTACAGAGCAATACTCTGTCTCAAAAAAATAAAAAAATAAAAATAAAAGCATATCACTAGGTCCAGCCTACACTCACAGGGAGAGGAATACACAAGAGGCCATACAGCAGGAGGTAGGGGTCACTGTGATCCATTTTGGGGGCTGCCTACCACAAGAAGAAAACATCCTTATTTACCAGAGCTACATTCAAAAGTGATTAGAAGTTAAATGTCATGATATCTGTAATTTACTTTAAAATACTTCTGTACAAAAAAAAAAATAGGTAAAGCAAATATAACAACATAACTATTAAATCTAGGTGGTGATTGTAAAGTTGTTCATTGTACTGCTCTTTGACTTTTCTGTTGGAAAAATGTGATCATAAAAAATCAAAATCGTCTGATCTTGTTCACTTACAGTGGGGTCAGTGGGAAAAAAAGTATATTAACTATGCTAAATTTTAAATTATAACATTTGGGAGACATCCTCCAATGTTTAAATAGGCAATGCTAAATAACCTCTCCGACAAGTGAACTAAGTCCTTTGGGACCTATTTGGTACCTATATGCCCTGATGGTCTCATCAAAATGTTTTTCTTGTGATTTTGTCTAGATTGTATACTCAGTAAGGACAGAAGTCACACCAGATGATGAACTCTACTTGAACACTAGGACTACATCCTAGTACCCAGCCCAGTGCCCAGTATACTGTAGGTGTTCAGTAAATATACTTAACTTTTAGTAAATGGCAACTATTTATAATACCTTGCCCTTAAATATTTTAGACCAAAATTATCTCTTTCAATACTTGATGACATGGAACTCCAGGGTCTAGAACTCTGGGGTTCAACCAAGGACGTGTATAGGTGCTTGAGCTAAAAGTTCATGAAGAAGTATTCTGGCCTGTCCCATACTACTCTAATGCACTGCCCTAGGAGGGCAAGATGACCTTCTAACCAGGCAGCATGACAAGTTAGGCCCTTATGTTCTCTTAAGAGAATGCCCAAGGTTAGAACACCTAGTGTCTAATGCAACAAGACTTCTCTTTTACCAACAACATGGGAGAGCTATACCTCTGGAGGTCACCAAAATATTAAATGTAAAACAGTTTCATTCAAGACTTGTCATGGCTTGCCCTCTCTCCCATAAAAAATAACTTGTATTAGAAGGTGAGTCTAAGAGGTGCCTGTGCCATGGTTGTAAGGCAAGTTATCAAAACCTCTAGGCTCTTTAAGCTCTACCTCTATAATAATTTTGATCAGAAAAAAATATATAGGAGATATGTTAAAGTAGATCTTCAAAGAAATGCTTTTGGAGCTTCAACATTCAATCCTGAGCTTTTATTAAGAAAGGTTTTTACAAAAGTTTATATTCAAAAAACACGGTCGGCCGGGTGTGGTGGCTCATGCCTGTAATCCCAACACTTTGGGAGCTGAGGCGGGTGGATCACCACCTGAAGTCAGGAGTTTGAGACCAGCCTGGCCAACATGGTGAAACCCCATCTCTACTAAAACTACAAAAAAATTAGCCGGGCGTGGGAGAGCACACCTGTAATCCCAGCTAGTCAGGAGGCTGAGGCAGGAGAATCGCTTGAATCCAGGAGGCAGAGGTTGCAGTGAGACGAGATTGCACCATTGCACTCCAGCCTGGGCAAAAAGAGCAAAATTCTGCCTCAAAAAATAAAAAATAAATAAAATAATTTAAAAAAAAAACACTGTCCACAAGGAAACCCACTCTCCCTTATATAACATCCATGGAAGAATCTTCTCCTAGAATTCAGGACCAAGAAAAAAATTGTCCCCATTGAAGAACTTGAGTGTTTCCTTTTCTTAGAAAATAAACACAAACCCCACGTTTCCCTTTTTACCTTGGTTGCCAAAAGCTCAAAGTTAAATTGCACCTAATCTCAGGAATTAGCTCATTCCAAAAGCATGATACTTTTTCTAACAGGCTTCTGAAACTTTTCTATTAATGTTTTGTAATATATTATATTGCCCTGTCTTATATGTATTATAACATTGTGGATTGCCTCAACTGACCTTGGGAAGTTAGTATCCATTCAGCAAATAGTTATTGAGTGCCTACTGTTTACTAGGCCTTCTGTTAGAGACCAGGATTAGAGGGAAGCCAGTCAATTCCTTCAGGATGACAATGTCCACAGGCAAGGTTACCAGAAAGTAGGGGAGGGGAGGAGGTCAGGAAGAACCCAGACAAGTATAACACAGCACTCCCTTGATGGAAGTACAAGCTCAGTGCAACAGCAGAGAAGAGAAGCACCTCCAACATAGCCCAGGGAGGCTGGGGGAGGTTAGGAAGAACCTTAAGAAAGTTTCTAAGTAAGTGGAAATAAGTTTTGAGAAACTGTGAAGTGAAGCAAAGCAGGGGAAATAGCCTGTGTAAAGGCACGAAGTTGCAGAACAGCACAGTGGACTTCAGGGAATAAGCGTAATTTGGTGTGGCAGGAATCAAGGCACATACGGGGAAAAAGAAGATGAGGTTGGAGATGTGAGAATTCAGCTTGTGGAGAAAAGGAGTTTGAATTTTAGCCTAAGAGGAACTGAGAGCCTACAGTTCTAGTCTGCATTTCAAGGTAACCACTCTTAGTGTTAAAAACCAAAACTGGAGGTTGGGACATCAGCTAAGAAACTGTGGTTAAAATCCAGGCAATAGACATGAGGTGTTTCTACCATGGTTGCGGGGCAGAAAGGAAGTACCTAGAGATTCAGGTACCTAGTGAGCACCCCGGTGATGAATTAGAGCCATCTGTTCGGTAAGCAAGCACTTACTGAGCATCTGGCTCTACAGCCAGACTCCCAGGGCCAGGCCTGACCCCCACCCCTTATTAGTCATGATCTCAGGTAAGCTAATTCACTACAATGTACCTCAGTTTCCTCATTTACAAACCAGGCATAATAATACTAATGATAATAATACTACCTACCCTCATATGCCTTTAGTGAAAATTAATGAGAACAATTTCTACCGCATTTAACTCTCACCAAACCCATGAGAATAATATAGATATTGCTATATCACCATAGGAAAAAATATATATAGTAGGTATTTTATATATTATACATATATGCATAATACATATTATAACATATATATATTATATATAGTTTTGAGGGTAGGTATATTATACATAAGGGTATATATTATATATTGCATTACTATGTGCCTAAGCACACTGTAAATGCTCCATAAATGTCAGTTCTTATCAATATTAATCAATATTATTTTGACTATTTACAAGACATGGCTCTGGGTGAGTGGGATACAGTGACAAATGGAACAGACAAGGTCACTGCTCTCACGGAGTTTACATCACATGAAGAGACAATAAGCAAATCAATCAATCAATTAAAAAAAGCAGCCAATGATCAGCGCTACGCAGAGAATTAAAGCAAGGTGATGTGATAGAGGGTGGCTGGCAGCTACATTAGAGTGGGTGGTCAGGGAAGGCCTCTCTGTGGAAGCGCTATTTAGACAGAGACATGAATGTCAAGCAGGATCGAGCAGGCAAAGATCTGGAGGAAGAGAATTCCAGGCAGGGGAAGAGTTAAGGCACAGGCCTGAAAATCAGAATAAGCTTGGAGTGTCTGTGAGGCAGAGAGAACCGTGTGGTTAAGATACAGCAGGCAAGGGCCGGGGTCTATGAAATGAGACTGGAGAGGTCAGGCAGTACAGGGCTTTGAAAGCCCAGTGGAAATGACGCAGAAGGAGCCCTCGAGAATGACTTCTGGCATCCAGATGGAGCAACTGGATGGACGGTGCTGCCATTCATGGAGAGAGGTCAGAGGGAATGCTGGGTTGTTGGGAGGATGAAGAGTTCTGTTGTAGGATGTGCTGAATTTCTGCAGGCTCTGGGACATCTAAGTGAAGATCTAGAAAACAGCTGGGATAAAGGAGAGTGATTACATGTGGGAGTGTGCGGAGATAAATATGTGGGAGTATGCAATGTGAGATGAACAGGGTGGGGGCTGGAATCCTGTTAACAACTGATACATTTAAGAAAAAGCAGGGATGAAGGATCAGAGAAATCCAATATGTAAGATAAAGGCTAAAAAGTGTTCAGCAATGACTTCTGGCTTCTCCTAGACTAGGTTGAAATTTAAGCTCTACCATTTACAAGCTTGGTGTCCCTGGGCAAGTTACTTGTTTGTGCCTAAATTTCCTCATGGATAGGATCGTTGTGAGCATGAAATAAGTTAATACCTGAAAAGCTCTCAGAATAGTGCTGGCACGGAGTAAGTGCCTGCATGTGTTAGTAGTTGCTACATCCAACAACCGGGGATCACCTGAAACTACAAGAGACTAATGTCTCATCAAGAGGGAGCTGGGAATCTCTGGAGCTGAAAAGGTGGGATAAACCTTCCAGAGGAGAAAGCCTGTCCTTTGTAGTTTAATACACCCAAGAAATCTCATTTCCATTAGCATTACAGAAGAGAAGAAGGGCTCCTCGGTTCCTCTCTCTCCAGTAGAAGCTTCCTACTTCCAAAAAGCCAAAACATAATAGGAATGCTTTTGAATGGTAGGGTATTATTTACCCTTTCAAGAGCCAACTAGTAGCAGGTCTGGGAGTCAGGATGCAGTGGCTCTTAGAGTAAATGGGAGATAAGGGAAGAGCATCTGCTACATTTTAAATACACTTTTGTGTGAAGGGAAAGCAGGAGACAGGACAGAACTGGGTGGTGTCTTTAAAGATACGAGACTTAAAGAGATAAGAGTTAAAGACAGGAAAGATAATTTGTACTCAAAGGCCCGAATGGAGAGAACAATGAGCCGATGGGGCTGACTCCCAGACGGATGAGGTGAGTGAAAGGCTGGGGCACCGATGGGGGATACTACGGAGAGAGTGGCTTCCATGACTGAGCTCAGTCTTGACTGAGTGGAAGGGAAGTCAATATGGGAAGGGGCTAATCCACTGTGGCAGCAGTGGGGAGGTCTGGAGGCAGGCAAAGATCAAGGGTGGGGTGTTGCGGGCTAAGCAGGAGTGCACTTGCAGGCTGTGAGGGCAAGGTCAGGGGTCAGAGGGCCCCAGGAACCAGTTAAGTCTGGAGCTGGCCTATAGGAGAGGGCGGTTTAATGGAAAGAGTGAGGTAACTGCAGGGCTGAGGCTCACTGCTGTGAGGTGCTGGACAAAAGGTTCACACAAGCGCTGCGATGCCTACAGTGGGATGGGGATTGCCACAAAGAGGATGAGCCTAAGTCAGTGTCCCTCCACATAAACCTTTAAGATTCCATGTGACTCTCAGGAAATATTTCCCTCAAACATCAGAGACAACGCTGTGAAATATAAATAGATCAAATGACATTTAAAAAAAAAACCTCAACATTCACTGGAAAAATGGATAAAGGATTGGGACAAATCAAAGACAATACATGATTAGAAAAATCCAGGCCAGTCGCAGTGGCTTACACCTGTAATCCTAGCACTTTGGGAGGATGAGGCAGGTGGATCACCTGAGATCAGGAGTTCGGGACCAGCCTGGCCAACATGGTGAAACCTCGTCTCTACTAAAAATACAAAAATTACCCAGGCATGGTGGCAGGTGCCTGTAATCCCATCTACTTGGGAGGCTGAGGCAGGAGAATTGCTTGAACCTGGGAGGCGGAGATTGCAGTGAGCCAAGGTTGTGCCATTGCACTCCAGCCTGGGCAACAGAGAAAAATCCAAAAAGGAAAAATATTTATTCTTACAAGTGATTAAAGAATCAGAAGAATCAGAAAATCAGTTTACAATGAATAAAGTGGTAAACTATTTTTGAGTAGTAAGATCTGATACTGGTAAGACCACGTGGCATTGAAGCCTCAGTCTTTTACTGGTCACTTTGTCAATTTGTGCATCTTTTGGAGAGCACCATGGCGATGCCTAGGAACAGACCTAACAATGTGCATAATCCTTCACCCAGTAATTTCACTCCTATGAACTTATCTCAGGGAAATTATTCCTCAGAAGTAATGCATCCAGACATGAAAGAGTCATCTATAATTCAAAAAAAAAAAAAAAACTGGACTAACTTTAAAGGAATCAATACAGGTACTTTCCAACACAATTAAACATTATGCAGCTATTAAAAGAGATAAACTTTTAAAATACGTCAATACAGAGAAAAATGTTTAGTGTTTGCTTTTAAAAAATAAACAGGATACAAAGAGATGTGTATCCATAAAAATATGTATGTGGAAAGTATACGGAAATAGGAAATAGTTACTGAGTTAGGTGACAGAATAATGAAAGATAACTACTTTTTTTCCAATTTTTTAAAATTTTCGTTTATTATATAAGTTGAATCATTTAAATAAATAGAAATAATTTGTTAGGTTGACCAAGCACCAAACAATTGACAATGTATTACAATATGCCAGGTCATCACTTATCTGTAATTCCTCCTGAATTGTATCCAGGCAAATCAGCCCAGCAGAACACACACTGGGAGAGCTTCCATAGCTGGCAACTTACGGGTGGGGATGAAAGGGAAGTGCTGAGCCTTCCCATTCTATATTCACCTCTAACACATAAACACACATAAGGGATGTGTACTCATAAAGATTTTTTAAAGACTATTGTCTACATGATGCTATCTTGTAAGGGTTTTTTTTTTCTTTTATTGTAATCATTCAGTAATTGGAACCCTGAAATTTAAGCACAAAGTCAAAGTCGCTTTTCTCAGAGGAAGAAAAAGCTAAAATATACCCAGGATAAAGACCCAGAAATAGAGACCAGATAGAGCCTGTCAGAATTGTAGCAATCCGTTTGTATCGCTAAGTAAGCCACAAGGATTTCTAAGAACTCGGTATTTATTAGCATTTAATTTTATTCTGCTAAAACTAATTTTTTCATTTTCATGAATAATCAACATAGTTTTACCAATTCAGATAGCAACAAGGAAAATGGAAAACAAATAAATCACAATTCAAGACCTCCACTACCTGGTCCCCATAAGAATTGCCAGCATGGATGGGGCCTGGTCCCACAATCCCCAGCTATTGAAAGATACCAGGCCCTCGGTCCTCTGGAAGTCTGGAATGGAGAGGCTGAGTGAAAAGAAGAGTTAATGCTTTCTGAGTGTATGATCTAATGGTCCTCTCCCTTAGAGAGCAGTGAGCAACTTAAGAGTTATTGAATAATAAGTAAAGACCCGTCAGAGTAAATCACTTCCACTTCAATGGATGAGCACAGGACTCCGGTATGAACTTGTAAGAGGGTGAGGTACTCACCAGAATGCAATCAATACAGGTAAAGTTAAAATTTATGGTTTTCAGGTCAAATTATTATTCTTCTGGCATGTGACATTAACAAACCACCAACGTAAACACACAGAAGTTCTACTGGAACAGAAGAAAAGCACTGTCATTTGCTGAGTGGCCTTAGACCCATTCCCTAGCCCTTCTGAACCCCATCTGGCCCGCTCACCCATACAATAACTCACTCTCGGAGCTGTTTTAAGACCAGAGTTACCTTCAAGGTGCTACTAAAAATAGCATCTAAAATTTACTCACACCAAAAAAGTCTACTGTCTAGGCAACTGGTTTTTGACATGGAAAGAAGGGCTGGGTTGTGTACCATGCAGACAGACCGAGCAAAGGTAACCTTTCTGGCAAAACTGAAGTAGGCCTGATTTGTTCTAGATTTTATCACCTCCTCTATAAAAGACTACAATGTTCTCCCATTTGGTGCCTGCCCAAACCAAGGCACAGTGCCCTCACGCGGCCCTTCCCTCCTGCATCCCTGCCCTATATTGGGTTACAGACACATTTGAATTACCTGGTGAGTTTTAAACTACCTTCCCCCAGACCCCTTTCCCAGAGGCTGAATTATCTGTTCTGGTGTGGTGCCCGCATAGCTGTGTTTTAAAAGCACCACCCTCCCGCTCCCCACCTCCCTGGGTGATTCTAAATGAGCAGTCAGGGCTGAAAGCCACTGCTCAAGACAAGCCCCTGTAGTTTAGAGAATGCTTAGAACCTGCAATAGGAAACACTGCTTTGAGGTTCCAGCTCATTACTTTCAATGTCTATGGTTTTTTTCTTTTATCTGTGTATTTTATCTTTCTAGCTAGATTGACAGGCATAATTACTTCCATGTCTTCACTTTTCTTCTCTGATCTCTGTTCCCAGTTACTCAGCATATGCTAAATGTGCTAACATGTGTGCGTAGATGTTCATCCTTTTCCACTGCCTGGTTCTGAAGGCTTTTCCCATTCACTTTCATAGAAGGTATGAGTGTGTGGCTGCTGTGTTGTAAGCAAGCAGCTTCTGGCCAAGACTTGAAGGCCTAATGTGGAGATGAGGTGGGCATCTCTATGAGGTGCTGTTGCATGATCTAATTAAACAGAGTAGGAAGAGCAGGTATTAAAACAGCCTATCCCAAAGCTTTCTTAAAAACAAAAACAATTTTGCTACTGTCCAAGTAAAAAGAGAAAAAAATTTTAAAAGAAGTGGAAGATTCATTGTTCAAAGCATAGATTTAGTAACAATGGATGTAGAGTAGTGCTGTAAACACGAATGCTTTAAAGCACTGAGACTTCAGCAGGGGTGAGTAGCAGCCTAAACATAAATCACAACCCAACAGAGCAAACAGAATTCGAGACAACCAATCTCTACTTTGGCCTCTGCCTTGTTTCATGACTTATAAAATGACTCTACTCTTCTCCCCAGAGAGTGAACATAAAATCATGAAGTCAATCACGGTGGCTCACACCTTTAATCCCAACACTTTGGGAGGCCGAGGTGGGTGGATCACGAGGTCAGGAGTTCGAGACCAGCCTGGCCAAGATGGTAAAACCCCATCTCTACTAAAAATACAAAAATTAGCCAGGCACGGTGGTGGGCACCTGTAATCCCAGCTACTCGGGAGGCTGAGGCAGGAGAATTGCTTGAACTTGGGAGGTGGAGGTTGCAGTAAGCCAAGATTGTGCCACTGCACTCTAGCCTGGGCAATAGAGCAAGACTCCGTCTCAAAAATAAATAAATAAATACATACATACATACATAAATAAAATCATGAAACCATTAGAACTAGAAAGACCTCCCATTTCTAAACATCTCACCATCTGTAAAAAAGACCCCTCCTCAGCTATCATGACAGTGGTCATCCAACCTCATCTGGAGAATAGCAGCTCAGGCCACACCACAAGTCCTCCCAATTGTGGACAGCTCTGTCTTAAAATTCTGCCTTACCCTGAGTTGAAAGCTATTATTTCTCCAAATATACATCTCACCTTCCTCTCTGTCTCTTCTCCCCTCCCTCTTATGCCTGTCATCTACAGTGACAACTAAGTCATTAGCCACTTTTAAGTATTTGAAAAAAGTTAGTATATTACCTGATAGCTTTACTTCTCCATACTATCCATGCCCAGTATCCTCAAATTCCTCACATGAAATTTTTTCCCCACTAACTACTCCTGACCAGCCTCCTCTGGAAACACACTAGTTTGGCCATTTTTCTTTTAAAAGCACAATCCCAAAACTGCTCCTTACACTCTTGTTCAATAAATATCTGCTGGATGCCTCATGTGTTCCAGGCACTCAGTTGGGCTCTCAAGACAAAGGAGGAATCTGCCAGGCCTGGCACAGAGTCCAGCTGAGGAAACACTCAAACCAAACCATTAGAAGAGGGTGCAAGGTGAGCTCTGAAAAAGAAAGCACCAGCTGCCTGGGAGCACGGAACAGGTTTGCTGGGAACACTCTGGGAGACAGGTCCAGCCTCGGTCCACTGAACTCCAACCTGGTGACACCAATGCACACTGTTCAGCTCTTCAGAGCATTCTCTGCAGTAGTGATCATTTCTTTAGGTAGTCCTCATTAGAGGACTAATGAAAGGGTATCACTCATTCATAGAGAGACATGCAGATTATTCACAAATGATCTACAAGTGGGTGTCTGAAGATACACCAACTTATACATGTTGTGTACCCGTTAAACCCTCAGACTCCCAGCTGAAGAAAGGGAAAGTTGACAACATAAGGGAGAAGAGGGTAGGGAAAGTGAGAGCAAGCGCCTACAGCAGCTTAAGTTTCCAGCTACTATCTCAAACAAAAATCAGAGACTCCAGACCAAAAAGCCATACTATTAATAACTGTAAGGTTGCAATATTTTAGTATTGAATTCTCCTTCTAGTTAAATCTTTCTAATATTTTCCTAGGAAAAAAATCCTGAAGGTTGAATTACTTAATAAGTAAATGTTAGAAATATGATATTTTATCTTTTGAAACTACTAAAACTACATACTAATTTTTACTCCTACCACAAGAATATGTCAATGCCTCTCCCATACCTCTGCTGATACTCCTTCATATTATTTAAAAAACAAAACAAAAACAAAATATGCCAATTTGATTGACAGAGAAGTGCCTCATTTTTTAGCTTGCATTTCTCTGATATTAAAGAGGTTGAGGCCAGGTGCAGTGGCTTACGTCTACAATCCCAGCACGTTGTGGGGCCAAGGCAGGCGGACCACTTGAGCACAGGAATTCAAGACCAGCCTGGGCAACATGGCAAAACCTCATCGCTACAAAAAATACAAAAATTAGCTGGGTGTGGTGGCACACGCCTGTGGTCCCAGCTCCTCGGGACGATGAGGCAGAAGGATCGCTTGAG